>NC_000009.12:35616060-35767575 GCF_000001405.40 Homo sapiens
TGCCTGGCAGGCCTGTAGCTGCCCTTCGGCCGCCTGATGAGCCCTCTGTTCCACCTGTAGTGCTTCCTGACTCTGCGCCAGCTCTCTCCTGGACCCCTGCAGATCCTCTGCACTCTGTCCCAGCTGCGTTATCTTGAGGCGGAGCTGCTGCCTCAGGCTGCTGTTAGTGACTTCCAGAACCCTGTTCGTCTGCTGGAGCTGCTGAGACACCTGCAGATCTGTTTGGCCACAGAGATTTGGTGGATGTCTTCTCCAGCCCTGCCCTAGTGCCCTGAGACTGCAGCATCAGCCCTTTTTCTGCTTCTTGCAACTTTTTGCATCACAGGCTGAAATACAAGATTTGACTGACTAAAGCGTAAGGAGGTACTGGATTAGGTGAGGACAATTCAGGAAGACAACAGCCCTGGCTGGAAACCAAACCCAAAGCTAAGGAGGTGGTGGTAGTGACTATGATCCCTGCTGAGGAAGATCAGCTTTGGGGCGAGAGTCGGGACGAAAGTCGTTCGGTGTAAGTGGGAAGTAGGGACAGCCTTACTCACAGCGCACTCCCAGGCAGATGGCGGTCACTCCTAACAGCAGGCAGGTGAGGAGCAGGCCGAGCAGGAGGTATCGCAGGCAGGTTGTGCGGCCTTAGGGGGACAGTGGGATGGATGAGGGCAGTCAGCCCCCGTAAAGAATGTAGAGAGGAAGGGACAGGTCCGTGGGGGAGACCCCTGGGGAAGGCATCCCTAAGAGGAGGGCGGTGCAGAGCTGAGGGGGCAAGCATGGTGGTTTCTGTCGGGTAGCGGGGTGTTTCGCAGGTAGGGGAGAGGGTGTTCCAGAATCAGTGCTGGTGGGGACTCGGGGGCGTTACCTGGGAGAAGGGGAAGGAAATATCAGACGGAGAGAGGGGAAGGGGGGCAGGTAGGTGAATTGGGACCATCCGCAGGGGGGCGGTGCACGTCGGATTCAGGCGCACCGGATGAAGGTGAATGTGGCACGGCAGCCCGGGCGTCGGAAGGACTGCGCCCGGGTTTATCCCGGAAGGAGCTGCACCCCGCGGGGCCCAGCGCCATCCGCAGCCGGGACAGGCGCGAGCACTTGGCCCCGCGGCTGCCCCGCACAGGCACACTCACAGGGGAGAATCCGCCCGACAGCTGGTGACGTCACGGCTCTCCAGGACGCAGTTGGCTGCTCCGACTTGACCGCTGTCGAGGGGAGCATCCAGTGTGAGACCGGAAGCCCCGAGTGTTGCCCCTTCTCCTCCTGCGCACCCGCTTCGCCCTCGCCACTGGGAAACTCCAGTCTGCCCTACGTTGCCTGCTAGAGCTGCTCTGGGACACAGTGTCACTCTCCTGAGTTCCTCCTCTGCCCGGGACTCTCTCGGCTTCCTCCTGGGTCTCACTGTATCTTTTCCCGGGACCCCCTCATCTCTCCTAGTTCTCCCTTTATCGTTTCCTCAGAGGCCCCTTATCTGTCGGCTCCAAACCCTCTCCCCCTTTGCTCTCATCCATCTCCCATCACCTCTTTTCCCTCCCATGGCTCCCCGTTTCCCATTAGAACTCATCCCCCACAGGGCTGCCCTATCCCTCCGCAGCCCTTATCTCCCCGAAAGGGGTCTCCACCTTGCGGGAGGAATCTTTCTTCCTCCCCTGGCTCCCATTTATCCTGTTCCTATTCTTCTGTTTCCTAAGAACCGCCCTCCTCCTTTCCCCAGGGTATTGTGCTCTCAAGAATACTGAGGGCCATGGCATGGGGGCGCACGCCTGCAATCCCAACACTTTGGGAGGCCAGGGCAGGAGGATCACTTGAGCCCAGGAGGTCGAGGCTGCAGTGAGCCATGATCACACCACTGCACTCCAGCCTGAGTGACAGAACAAGACCCTGTCTCAAGAACAACAACAAAAACATTGTGGACTCCCCAGCTCAAGACACAGCCCCCCAACAAACACACATCCCCCAGGCTCTCCAGACCTGCTTTGTCCCCTAGTACAGAAGAAGCCAAGCTTGAGGGCACCCCTAGGACTGCGGGCACTTGAACATTCTCGTAGGTGATTTCCCCATCATCATCAGCCCCTGGGTCTAGAGAGAAGAGAAAAGGGACCAAGGTGGGATTTGGGAATGGGATCTGTGGGGCGGGAAGTGGGGATGCAGGATCAAGGGGAGGCCTCATCCCCCTTACCCTGTCCTAACCGGCTGGAGATGCTCTTCTTCAGGGGAGCCTTCACAAACCTCAGATCTGCATAGGTGATGGCCTCAGCCATGGTCCTGAGCAGCTCTGCCCCCACTCGTCTTCCCTGTCATCCACTGTCCTCCCTTGCCCCTCTCGTCTCTGTCCGTTTACAACTAGGCTCTGTGTTCCCTCTGTGACTGCACGGCTTAGCAATTGGCCCTGTGACTTCCAGTCACAAAAGAGGAAGGTGTTAGCAAGTCTCAAACAGATGGGCTCAATGAAGCAGAAGGCATCCCTGGGCCAGGGCCAGAGGGGCCACGGAGGGGACGCTGAGGTCCAGAACACAGGGGTAGGGGATGGGCCTGTCCCCATGTCCTCCCTGTGCTTCCTCTCCATGCATCTTAAACCCATATGGGCCATGCTGGGCCCCAAACTCGGTCCTTCTGGTTATCTGCCCTGATCTGCCCCACCCTCCTCCTGGCTGCCTTGTCCACTGGGGCTTATGATGTGTAGCTGGAGCTGCACTGACCCAGACGATCTCCCCAGCTCCAGGGTGAGGCTCCGTTCTCCCCATGAGACTGGGGGTTCCTGGTTTGCATCCCTCGCTTCTCATCATCCTGGGGGTTCCAGTAACTGGGGGTTCAGGAACAGGCCTGGGCCAGAGGTGAAGGTAAGGAAGAGCCATGGCTGCAGCACCTCTGGAAAGGCAAGTGGCAGCACTGCCCCCCATGCACCCTCATGGGGAGCCAGGGAGCAGGTGAGCAAGGGAGTTGCAGAGGGCTTAAGAAGGCTGCAGCTTCCTAGGTGAAGTCAAGGCAGAGGAGCAGAACAGAGCCAGAGGCCGAGCGCAGATTCCGGACCAGCGGAGGTCTTGACATTTTCTTGGTTTGGTTTTGGTTCGTCTCTTACTTTCCTAGCAAAGTTCTTTCTTTAAAAAGTCCCAAAGCTGTCCCTTCCCACCCAGCCCCAAGGAAAAAGGGGGCATTTGTGGCGGAGGACCCAGGGACCGCGAGGCCCTCATAGGTGGTGGGGGCCTGGCTGATGGAGGAGAGAGGGAACCAGTTGGGGGAAAGGGGGCTGCTGAGCAGGGGTGCCCAAAGGTGCTCCCTAATGTTCTTTTACCGGGATGTGACCCCTACTAGGAACCCCAAAATGGCCTACATCCGGGATAGGAAGGAGCTAGAACAAGATGTAGTGTGGGGGTGGGAAGAACCCGCCCCTAGCAAAGTGACATCCGCCCCGCAGAATCCCCCTCCTGCAGCTGTGGGGAGGAAAAAGGAAGGGGGAAAAGGTCCTCACCACATGCCAACAGCTCGGATGATTGGTGGTGTGTGGCAGGACACTGCCAGGGACCCTAGAGCTCTGCCAATAGCTCCGCCCAGCCAGCCCTAGAGGAAGTGGCCACTGAGGCAAAGCTGTGACCTCAAAAATGTACTTGTAGAGAGGCACGTGTGCATGTGTGTGCATGGATATGCATGTTCCCAGGACTTTGCAGTCTGTTAGGGCATCTGTGAGGTGAGCGGCTATGTCAGAGCCTGCCTGGAGGAGGAAGCCTTCTGTGGGCTGAAGGCTGCCTGTGATCACTGTTATTTTCCATGGCAGAGAATGACGGGTCATTTTCAGAAAAGTCGTCAAAGGTCATCACAAGAGATCCTACAAGTATTTCCTTTTTGAAGCTCACTGTTTCCTAAGGTGCCTCTGCAGCTGTTAACTGTCCTTGCTTGATTAAAGTTTCCAACAACCTAGACCTTCCCCCAGATACAGAGAGTGGTATGTGGTGGTGACTCCCTGGGGACCTCAGGGGCCCTGAGAGTGAGTGGGAGGGTATAGAGCAGCTGGTGGCAGGGGTGGGTGGGGTGGGAAGAGTCAAATACTTGAACCTGTGGTGTACAGGGGGTGGGTGTGGGCAGTGTGTGAGTAAATCAATTGCAGGAACATTTGCAGGAGTTCCACAAACTGTAGAATGTCCCAGTTTTCAGATCCAATACACAGGTGAACATGATGTAGATGCCAGGTAAAATGCCAAAACCAAGCTTCTAGTCTGCACTCAAAAAGGTGTCTGTGGCCAACATAGTGAAACCCCGTCTCTACTACAAAATACAAAAAAATTAGCCTGGTGTGGTGGCTCGAACCTGTAGTCCCAGCTACTCAGGAGGCTGAGGCAGGAGAATCGCTTGAACCCAGGAGGTGGAGGTTGCAGTGAGCCAAGATCACACCATTGCACTCCAGCCTAGGCAACAAGAGCAAAGCTCCATCTCCAAAAAAAAAAAAAAAAATGGAATACATGGGCTTGCTGCCTAACTTGACCTGTAGAGAGGCTTAAGAAGGGGATCTCCTGGCCGGCATGGTGGCTCACACCTGTAATCCCAGCACTTTGGGAGGCTGAGGTGGGCGGATCACCTGAGGTCAGGAATTTGAGACTAGCCTGGCAAACATGGTGAAATCCCATCTGTATTAAAAATACAAAATTAGCTGAGAATGGTGGCATGTGCCTGTAATTCCAGCTACTAGGGAGGCTGAGAATTGCTTGAACCCGGGAGGCAGAGGTTGCAGTGAGCCGAGATTGTGCCCATCCTGGGCCACAGAGTGAGACTCTGTCTCCAAAAATAAAAAAAAATAAAAAAAAGAAGGGGATCCCCAGATGGAACTGCACACCGCAATATCTTGAATGTCTTAACCAGGCTTGTTCTATATTTTTCTCCTCTTTAGCTCTTTTGGTGATGGTTACATATCTTTTCATCACAGGCCGCATTCGCTTCTGTCTTAGACCAGCTTGTAGCCTTCCTTTGTGAACAGGGTAAGAGAGTAGGATCCTTCCCCTTCCCCACGTGTGTCACTTGGGGTCTTTACAGTTTTGACATTCACATTACATTTAGAGGCTGGACATCAGAAAAGATACCTGTAACTCCAAGCTGTACCTCTACTGCCCAAATATCAGGGAACTTTTAAGAGGTGAGGGGTCAGTGCTGTACATTTCAGCTTTTCCAGAACCATACTATCATCATCTGAGAGCCTGGAGGGCAGACACTAACACCCATGTTTTGCCCTCTCCTGGCCTCCCCACTACTCATTACAGGGAATGGGTGTTTACGGTTGACAAGAGGAGGGGGCCCAACCATGAGGGCATCAGATAGAATTTGCCATGTGGAAGGGGGCTCACCTGATCAACTTTGTGTCATTGATACAGTCTATGTCAGGACATCGGGAGCATCTCCTAAGACTCTGAAAGTCAGGCTATATCTGTCTTCATTACTTTAACCCACTGGCCTCCGGGAAGCCCTAGTTTACTGACAGGGTGTGGTAGCCAGAATAATGGCCTCCCAAAAATGTTCACACCCGAATCCCCAGAACCTGTGACTATGTCACTTTACCTGACAAAATGTAGATGTGGCTATGTTAATCAAGGTCCTTTAGATAGAGAGATTATCCTGTTTTATCTTGGTAGGCACACTCTGATCACATGAGTCCTTGAAAGGGAGAACCTTTCCCATCATGGGAAGAAAGAGATTCGGTGAGGGAAGGAGGGCCAGAGAGACGCCACAGGAGAAACACTCAACCCATAGGTCCTGATTTTGAAGGTGCAGGAAGAGGACCTTGAGCCAAGGAATGCAAGAAGCCTCTGAGAGCTGGAAAAGGCAAGGAAGCAGATTTTCCCCTTCAGCATCCAGAAAGGAACCAGCCCTGCAGACACCTTGACTTTAGCCCAGTGAGACCTGTGTCGACCTGATCTCCACAACTGTAAGACAATAAATTTGTATTGTTTAAGCCACCAAGTGTGTAATTTATTAGAGCAGCAAGAGTTTCGTGAACTGTGGAGGAAGCATGATGTAATAGAAAGAATAGGGAGACTCTGGTTAAAGAGACCAGCCTTGCCACAGTATGTGACTTTGGGCAAGTGACAGTTTTCCATCTGTAAAATACAAGATAGTCTGACCTCAATCAAGAGTATGATTGCTGGAGACACACTAGGTGTGGACTTTACAAACGCCTCTTTAAAATCTGTCACAAAGGCTTCAGAGTCAGGAGGGAGAAAAATGGGCCACCTGATTGCACCATGAGGGAGACTTGGATTTCTTTGATCACTGAAGCCAAAGAGTACAGATAGGTCTTCGGTGACTTGCCCCAGGCCTCTCCTTGGTCCTGCCTCAAATGGTGACACAGAAAGCACGTTCTCTGTGCTTAATGGCACAGAGCTGAAAAGCAAATACATCAAAAGGCCAACTCAAGATTCAAGCCTTGCAACAAGGCAAAATGATGGCTCCAAACCACAGAATGAAATGTCATAAAAATAATAACAGCAGGCCAGGCACGATGGCTCACGCCTGTTATCCCTTGGGAAGCCAAGGTGCACAGATCACAAGGTCAGAATTTCGAGACCAGCCTGGCCAATATGGTGAAACCCCGTCTCTACTAATAATACAAAAATTAGCCGGGCATGGCGGCGCACACCTGTAGTCCCAGCTACCCAGGAGGCTGAAGCAAAAGAATCGCTTAAACCCGGGAGGCAGAGGTTGCAGTGAGCCAAGGTGGTGCCACTGCACTCCAGCCTGGGTGACAGAGCGAGACTCTGTCTCAAAAAAAATAATAATAATAATAATAATAATAACAGCAAAGTCAGGCACAATGGCTCATGCCTATAATCCCAAGACTTTGGGAAGCTGAGGTGGGAGGATCACTTGGGCCTAGGAATTCGAGACCAGACTGGCCAACACAGCGAGACTCCATCTCTACAAAAAATTTAAAAATTAGGCAGGTGTGATGGCACATGCTTATGGTCTCAGCTTCTTGGGAGGCTGAGTGGGGAGGATTGTTTGAGCCCAGGAGGGCGAGGCTGCTGTCAGCCATGTTTGTGCCACTGCACTCTGGCCTGGGCAGCAGTGAAACCCTCCCTCAAAAAATAAATGAATCAAAATTAAAATAAAAAAAAGATAATACAGCAAGCATTTATTGAAAAATGAAATTTGGAATTCAAAAAATAAATTGCATAAGCATAGGATGGAGGGAGTCCTGGGTTAACAATTGTTTATGTAACAAAGTTTGAGGAGAAAGGCAGTTATTATTTTACACTTGAAGGGATCTTAGAGAGCCCAGCCTGCTTATTTTACAAATTGGGAAACTGGACTCAGCAGGCTGTAAGCGCCTTATAAACTGACCCAGTGACTGGAAAGAAGCTTGTGACAAAAGGCTGCCACATAGAACTGTAGCCCCCTTACCAAATACATCTAACATTGTGCCAGCCACACCTATAGCCCTTTTTTTTTGTTTTGTTTTTTACTTTGTGTTTTTTATCCCATACTTAAATACTACCTATAGCCCTTTTTAAGCAGGCAAACCCCTGCTGATGAGGCAGCCCTAGTCCCCAGAAATTGTGTCTTGTGACCTCCAACCCCTTTGACCTCAGCTGATTAAAATTAGCAAGCGAGGCCTGGCGCAGTGGCTCACACCTATAATCCCAGCTCTTTGGGAGGCCGAGGCAGGCGGATCACCTGAGGTCAGGAGTTCAAGACCAGCCTGGCCAACATGGCGAAACCCCGTCTCTACTAAAAATACAAAATTAGCTGGGCATAGTGGTACATGCGTAATCCCAGCTACTCAGGAGGCTGAGGCAAGAGAATAGCTTGAACCCAGGAGGCGGAGCTTGCAGTGAGCCGAGATTCCACCACTGCACTCCAGCCTGGGTGACAGAGCAAGACTCCGTCTCAGAAAAAAATGGGTTAAAAAGACAAATTTATAAAGGCCAGGCCCAGTGGCTCACGCCTGTAATCCCAGCACTTTGGGAGGCTGAAGTCGGTGGATCACGACCAGCCTGACCAACACGATGAAACCCCATCTCTACTAAAAATACAAAAATTAGCTGGGCGTGGTGGCACATGCCTGTAATCCCAGCTACTCGGGAGGCTGAGGCAGGAGAATCACTTGAACCTGGGAGGCGGAGGTTGCAGTGAGCCAAGATCACACCACTGCACTCCAGCCTGGGCGACAAAGGGAGACTCTGTCTCAAAAATAATAATAATAATAATAATAATAATAATAATAATAATAATAATAATAAATTTAATTTAATAAAAATATAAAATGAGCAAGTGGGCCTCTGCCTAAGGCTGGCCAGTCCATGGACAAGCCAGCGACCTGGACATCAGGATGAGTTTATCAAATGCCAATTTTCAGGAATTTAAGTGGGAAAATATGGAGATGACCACTGAGTTGGCAGTGGGAGTTAAAGATGAAAGGATGTATAGAGAGCATCTACCTTGACCCACAGAATTCTCCATACCTAGCGATCGTGCCTGGCTACTCCTAGCTCACATACTTAGTGGGGAGCGATTACCCTGGCAGAGGTGACTGAACCTGATTGCCTGATTATCATGAGGGGTTAGGGCTGCTGCTACATACTGTAGGAATGTCCAGGCACACCTCATTTTATTGCACTTCACTTATTACGCTTCACAGATACTGAGTTTTTTACAGGTTGAAGGTTTATGGCAACCCTGTGGCAAGCAAGTCTACTGGTGCCATTTTCCAACAGCACGTGCTCACTTCGTGTCTCTGTGTCATCACATTTTGGTAATTCTTAAAATATTTCAAACTTTTTTCATTATTATTGTATCTGTTATGGAGATCTGTGATCAGTGATTTTTGATGTTAATATTGTCATTGTTTTGGAGCACCATGAACCATACCTATAAGACATTGAACTTAATAAAAGTTGTGTGTGTTCTGACTGCTCCACTGACTGGCTATTCCCTGTCTTGCTCCCTCTCCTTGGGTCTCTCTATTCCCTGAGACACAACAATCTTAAAATTAGGACAGTTAATAACCCTACAATGGTCTCTAAGTGTACAAGTGAAAGGAAGAGTTGCACATCTCTCACTTTACATCAAAAGCCAGAAAGGATTAAGGTTAGTGAGGAAGGCATGTCCAAAGCCAAGATAGGCCAAAAGCTAGGCCTCTTATGCCAGTTAGCCAAGTTGCAAATGCAAAGGAAAAGTTCTTGAAGGAAATTAAAAGAGCTACTCCAGTGAACACAGAAATGATAAGAAAGCAAAACAGTCTTATTGCTGATATGGAGAGCGTTTGAGTGGTCTGGATAGAAGATCAAACCAGCTACAACATTCTCTTAAGCCAAAGCCTAATCCAGAGCAAGACCCTAACTCTCTTCAATTCTCTGGAGGCTGAGAGAATTGAGGAGGCTGCAGAAGAAAAATCTGAAGCCAGCAGAGGTTGGTTCCTGAGGTTTAAGGAAAGAAGCCAGCTCTATAACATAAAAGTGCAAGGTGAAGCAGCAAGTGCTGATGTAGAAGCTGCAGCAAGTTATCCAGAAGATCTAACTAAGATCATTGATGAAGGTGGCTACACTAAACAACAGATTTTCAATGCAAACTAAACAGCCTTTTATTGGAGAAGAGGCCATCTAGGACTTTCATAGCTGGAGAAGAAAAGTCAGTGCCTGGCTTCAAATCTTCAAAGGACAGGTTGACTCTCTTGTTAGAGGCTAATGCAGCTCGTGGCTTTAAGGTGAAGCCAGTGCTCATTTACCATTCTCAGAATCCTAGGGCCCTTAAGAATTATGGTAAATCTATCCTTCCCGTGCTCTATACATGGAAGAACAAAGCCTGGATGACAGCACATTTGTCCACAGCACAGTTTAGTGAATATTTTAAGCCCACCATTGACACCTACTACTTCTCAGAAAGAAAATTCCTTTCAAGATATTACTGCTCATTGGCAATGTGCCTAGTCACCCAAGATCTCTGATGGAGATTAACGTTGTTTTCACGCCTAACTTCCATTCTGTAGCCCGTGGGTCAAGAAGTAATTTTGACCTTATTTAAGAAACACATTTTGTAAGGCTACAGCTGCCATAGGGATTCCTCTCATGGATCTGGGCAAAGTAAACTGAGAACCTTCTGAAGAGGATTCGCCATTCTAGATACAATTAAAAACATTCACGACTCATGGGAGGGGGTCAAAATATCAACATTAACAGGAGTTTGGAAGAACTTGATTTCAACCCTCATGGATGACTTGGAGGAGTTCAAGACTTCAATGGAGGAAGTAACTGCAGCTCTGATGGAAACTGCAAGAGAACTACAGTTAGAAATGGAGTCTGAAGATGTGACTGAATTGGTGCAATCTCATGATCAAACTTGAACAGATGAGGAATTGATTATTATGAATGAGCAAAGAAAGTGGTTTCTTAAGATGGAATCTACTGGTGAAGATTATGTTGAAATGACAACAAAGGATTTAGAATATTCTATAAACTTAGTTGATAGAGCAGTGTCAGGGTTTGCGAGGATTGACTCCAATTTTGAAAGTTCTGCTGTGCATAAAATGCTACCAAACATTGCATGCTACAGAGAAATCTTTCGTGAAAAGAATCAATGTGGCAAACTTTATGTTGTCTTATTTTAGGAAATTGCCAGAGCCACTCCAGCCTTCAGCAACTACCATCCTGATCAGTCAGCAGCTACCAACATCAAGGCAAGACCCTCCACTGGCAAAAAGATTATGATTCACTGAAGGCTCAGATGATCATTAACATTTTTTAACAATAAGGTATTTTTTAATTAAGGTATTACATTGTTTTTTAAGGTATAATGCTACTGCACACTTAATAGACTACAGTATAGTATAAACATTACTTTTTTTTTTTTGAGATGGAGTCTCGCACTGTCTCCCAGGCTGGAGTGCAGTGGCACAATGTCAGCTCACTGCAAGCTCCGCCTCCTGGGAGTTCAGCTACTCCCGAGTAGCTGGGACTACAGGTGCCCGCCACCATGCCTGGCTAATCTTTTTGTATTTTTAGTAGAGAGGGGATTTCACTGTGTTAGCCAGGATGGTCTCAATCTCCTGACTTCGTGATCTGCCCACCTCGGCCTCCCAAAGTGATCGGATTACAGGCGTGAGCCACCACGCCCGGCCTTTTTTTTTTTTTGAGATGGAGTCTCACTCTGTTGCCCAGGCTGGAGTGCAATCTCAGCTCACTGCAACCTCCACCTCCCGGGTTCAAGCGATTCTCCTGTCTCACCCTTCCAAGTAGCTGGGATTACAGGCATGCACCACCAGGACAGGCTAAATTTTTTTTTGTATTTTTAGTAGAGACAGGGTTTCACCGTGTTCCCCAGGCTGGTCTCAAACTCCTGAGCTCAAGCAATTCACCCACCTCGGCCTCCCAAAGTGCTAGGATTACAGGCGAGAGCCACTGCGCCCGGCTAAACATAACTTTTATATGCATTGGGAAACAAAAAAAAAATCCTGTGATCGTTGCAGTGATCTCAAACCTGAACCCACAATATCTCTGAAGTATGCCTGTATCTGCATGTTAGGGGATTCATGGGTGCCCCTTGGTGTTCCATGCTCAGTGATATATTGGGCAACTTTAACCACCACAGCCTGGAAAGAACCCAGTTATCAGAAGGCTCAGAAATGAAGGTCTGGCTCACCCACTGGGCAAGTAATTCAGTCCAGCAAGAAGTACTGCTTGAGAGTGAGGGGAGTCTAGTGTGGACAGAAGGGGAGGAAAATGAAGAATGTCAGTTGCAGTCTCAGAACCAACCACAGCACTGGGGATTTTAGCTTGTCCCACTGATGCTCCTATGATAAGTTTTTGTACCTCTTTTTTTTTTCTTTTTTAATCAGAGTCAGCGTCTCACTCTGTCACCCAGGCTGGAGTACAGTGGTTCGACCATAGATCACTGTAGCCTCAAACTCCTGGGTTCAAGTGACCCTCCCACCTTAGCCTCCCAAGTAACTAGGACTACAGGCACTCACCATCACACCAGACTAATTTTGTTGTTGTTGTAGAGACAAGGTTTCGCTATGTCGACCAGGCTGGCCTTGAACACCTGGCCTTAAGCAATCCTCCTGCCTCAGCCTCCCAAAGTACTGAAATTACAGGCATGACTCACTCTGCCTGGCTTCTTCTTTTTAAAAAAGAGACAGGGGTCTTGTTATGTTGCCCAGGCTGGACTTGAACTCCTGGGCTCCAGCAATCCTCCTGCCTTGGCCTCCGAAGTATCTGGGACTACAGGCACGTGTTACCAGGGCCAGCTTATTCCTCTTCTTCCTCCTCCTTTTTAAATAAACTATGACCTGGGCGGGGCGTGGTGGCTCACGCCTGTAATCCCAGTACTTTGAGAGGCTGAGGCCGGTGGATTACAAGGTCAGGAGCTCGAGACCATCCTGGCTAACATGGTGAAACCCCATCTCTACTAAAAATACAAAAAAATTTAGCTGGGCATGGTGGCAGGCACCTGTAGTAAGAAACAGTGACAGCATGAATTTAACACAAGACATAAGTGGATCTGAGTGATGCTCGCTGCTCGGCAGATACTGTCAGTGCCTCAGCCATTTCTCCTCAGGCCTCACCGCTGGCTGCACATAAGCCCAGAGGCTAAGGGCAGGCCTGCAGCTCCTTGCCTGAAGCTTTTCTCTGGTAGGTGAGCAGAGCAGAGGGCCAGGAGTGCTGGAGAATCCATGCCTCCCCCTGTAAAGCAGCTCTCAAACAAAGACTGGTGGGAACTGGTATATGAATACACCAGCCACCTCACCCTGGGAGTGGGAGAGTAACTGTGTGGGCGCATGTTCTACACTGGCTCTCAGAGTTCCCCACTGGTTTTAAGCTCCAGTTTTTCGCCATGCATGTAAGTGGTATCTTTTTTTGTTTTTTGTTTTTTTGAGACAGGATCTTGCTCTGTTGCCCAGGCTGGAGTGCAGTGGCATGATCACTGCTCGCTGCAGCCTCAACCTGCTGGGCTCAAGTGATCCTCCCAGTTCAGCCTCCCAAGTAGCTGGGACTAAAGGCATGCACCACAATGCCTGGCTAATTAAATTTTTTTTTTTTAAGAGATGGGGGTCTCTCTAGTTGCCCAGGTTGGTCTCAAACTCCTGGGCTCAAGCAATCTTCCTGCCTGGGCCTCCCAAAGTACTGGAATTACAGACATGAGCCACTGCGCCCGGCAGGCATCTCATTTTTACTTTAAGCTGCATGTCCCTGATTTGTAGTGAATTTGAGCGTATTTTCATGTTTCTTAACCATTTGGATTAGCTCTTCAACTGAGGTTAGAATCCTTTGTGTATATTTTTCTATCCCCCCAGAATTTTATTTTGAAACATTTTAAGCTTAAAGGAAAGTTGAAAGAATATCATGAACACTTGTATATCCTTCATTTAGTATGTCAGTCAAGGCCCATCAGAGAAGTAAAACCACTAGCATAAGCATATGTATGTATGTTTATATATACATACACACACATACATATTTTTTCAATTAAGAGATTTAGTACACAGAATTGCTCTTATTTGGTACAGAGAATTGCTCAATTATGCATTTGTGGGAGCAAGCTCAACAGTCTCTGAAAGGTGTTGTCTTTGCTTCTGCTGCTGGAGCTCGGATTCTGCAGGCCAGGCAGCCAGGAAGGGAAGATGGGCAAAAGTGGGACAGAGCAAGGATAAGCCAGAACCCGTGAACATAGACTGGAACCCAAGTCAGTCTCTGCCCGCCTCCACCTTTGATGACGCGAATGTCCTGCCACAGAAGGTGTGCTTTTACCCACCATGCTCTGCTGCTACATGGGTATGCAAGCCCTGCTAGTGCACAGTCCCAGCACATGGTAGCACTCAGTAAGGAGAGCTAGATGTTCAGTTCCACTGATTATGTCAGCCCACTTTCTCCAATGACTTGAATTGTCATGTTTTTGTATATACAATCACCTTGTTTGGGATTCTCTGTTTTATTCCACTGACTAATTTTTCCCCTTTGCTTTATTCATTTGATTAAGTGGCCTTATGTTATCATATTTGGTAAAGTGAATTTCTTTTCTTTTTTTTTTTTTTTTGGAGATGGGAGTCTTGCCCTGTCGCCGCCCAGGCTGGAGTGCAGCCGCGCGTCTCAGCTCACTGCAACCTCCACCTCCCGGGTTCAAGCTATTCTCCTGCCTCAGCCTCCCGAGTAGCTGGAATTACAGGCATGTGCCATCACGCCCGGCTAATTTTTGTATTTTTGTAGAGAAGGGGTTTCGCCATGTTGGCCAGCCTGGTTTTGAACTCCTGACCTCAGGTGATCCCCCCGCCTCAGCCTCCCAAAGTGCTGGGATTACAGGCATGAGCCACCGCACCCGGCTGCTAAAGTGAATTTCTCTATTTTTTCTCACTATTTTCCCTATCAAAATCTTTGTATTTTTAAAAAATAGTTTTTTCTTTGCTTGTTCTTTGTTTTACTAATTGGAATTATACACTTTAATTTTTGGAGAACTGACACTTTTTATGATATTTTCTCTTCCCAAAAGGATATGGTTAATTTTCTGTTTATTCCCATCTTGTTTTATAGTGTTTAATAATATTTTACTGTATAACTTTATTCATATGAATACTTATGTGTTTCTTGATTAAATATGAGTAAATGTATGTACCATATCATAGTGGTTACAAGGGAAGTATCTGCCAAACTGCCAGGGTTCAAATCCCAGCTCTGAGATTTTACCAGCTATTAATAGTAATCTGGGGCTAAATCACTTAATCTGTGTGTTCCTCAGTGTTCTCTTCTGTAAAATAAGAACAATAATAGTGGCTGGACGCAGTGGCTCACACCTGTAATCCCAGCACTTTGAGAAGCTGAGGCAGGTGGATCGCTTAAGCCCAGGAGTTCGAGATAAACCTGCGCAACATGGCAAAACGCCCGTCTCTACAAAAAATACAAAATAATAATAATAGTAATCTGTTTCAAGAGGATGTTGTGAGGCTTGATTGAGTTGATACAAAGTGCTAAGAATAGTTCATGGCATTATGGTGGCTATCATTATTATCCTAAGAATTTTTTTTTCTGAGTAGCTTCATTATCTATATATTATCCTAAGAATTTTATAACTTTGTAACTCTAAATTGAAACTGCTTCCATTTTCAATTCAATATGCTTATTGCTAGAGTAAAAACAATTTATTTTCATTATATTTATCTTGTATCCAGTCAGCCCTCCAAATTATATTGCTTTTTACTATGGCTTTTTATTTTTACTAGTCTTTTGGTTTTTCTGGTACAATCATGTCAGCAGCAAAAAAGATAATATTATAATTTCTTTTCAGATGAGCGTAACAATTCATTGTCTTGTTTTACTGAATTTGGTAAAACTTCCAAGATATGTCAAATAATAAGGATAATAGCAGGCATTTCTGTCTAAATTTTTATTTTAATTGAAGTGGTTTCAGTGTTTCACCATTGAGAACCATATTTGCTTTTAGGTTTTAGTAACTAGTCTTTATTATATTTAAGCAGTTTTCCTCTTTTTCTTTTTTACTTAGAGTTTTTTTGGGAATAGTATCAAGATGTACTAGCTTTACAATTAAATCTTGGAGCCTTTCTTCGTTTTCTATACTCTTGACCAGTTTAAACGGCATAGAACGGCTGGGCGCGGTGGCTCACGCCTGTAATCCCAACACTTTGGGAGGCCGAGGCGGGCGGATCACGACGTCAGCAGATCGAGATCCATCCTGGCTAACACGGTGAAACCCCGTCTCTACTAAAAATACAAAAAATTAGGCGTGGTGGTGGGCACCTGTAATCCCAGCTACTCGGGAGGCTGAGGCAGGAGAATGGCGTGAACCCGGGAGACGGAGCTTGCAGTGAGCCGAGATCGCCGAGCCACTGCACTCCAGCTTGGGCTACAGAGCCAGACTCCACTCAAAATAAATAAATAAATAAATAAAAATAAATAAATGGCATAGAAATTATTATTTAAGGTTAGAAAAAACTCATATCTGGTGCCATGTGAATGCAGTATTTCCCAAAAGGAGTCTCTCATCACCTTCCTATTGCAGTCTTTTCTAAAATAAGTTGGGCTCTTCAAGCTTTCCTCTTTCTCCTGGGTCAATTTTGGTAATTTATATATTTCTTGAAAGATATCCATTTCCTCTAAATTTTCAAATTGGTTGATTTTCAGTTGTACTGTTTTATAATTCTTCAATTTTCTCCTCTTTTTTTTTTTTTGAGACGGAGTATCGCTCTGTCACCCAGGCTGGAGTGCAGTGGCGCGATCTCGGCTCACTGCAAGCTCCGTCTTCCGGGTTCACGCCATTCTGCCTCAGCCTCCCGAGTAGCTGGGATTACAGGTGCCCACCACCACGCCTAATTTTTTGTATTTTTAGTAGAGACGGGGTTTCACCGTGTTAGCCAGGATGGTCTTGACCTCCTGACCTCGTGATGCGCCCGCCTCGGCCTCCCAAAGTGCTGGGATTACAGGCTTGAGCCACTGTGCCCGGCCTTCTCCTCTATTTGTAAGAATGTTTTCTTTCTCATAACTAATCTTGTCTATTTAATCTTTCTCTCTTTTTCCCCCTTTAATTTGGCTTGCAAGAGGTTTATTTTATTAGCTTTTTTTTTTTTTTCGAGAGGGAGCCTTACTCTGTCGCCCAGGCTGGAGTGCAGTGGCACCATCTCGGCTCACTGCAACCTCTACCTCCTGGGTTCAAACGATTCTCCTTCCTCAGCCTCCCAAGTAGCTGGGGTTACAGGTGTCTGCCACTGCACCCTGCTAATTTTTGTATTTTTTAGGAGAGACAGGTTTTCACCGTGTTGGCCAGGCTGGTCTCAAACTCCTGACCTCAGGTGATCTGCCTGCCTCAGCCTACCAAAGTGCTGGGATTTCAGGCACGAGCCACTGTGCCCAGCCTTATTAGCTCTTTTAAAAGACAATTTTTTGGATTTATTTATCCTTTTTAGTTTTTTTTTTTTTTTCTTTTTGAGACAGGGTGTGGCTCTGTTGCCCTGGCTGGAGTGCAGTGGTGCAATCTCAGCTCACTGCAACCTCCACCTCCTGGGCTCAATCTAACCTCCCATCTCAGCCTCCCAAGTAGCTGGGACTACAGGCGTACACCACCATGCCTGGCTAATTTTTGTACTTTTTTTTTTTTTTCTTCAGAGATGGGGTTTCACCATGTTGCCCAGGCTGGTTTCGAACTCCTAAGCTCAAGTGATTCTCCCGCCTTGGCTTCCCAAAGCGCTGGGATTACAGGCATGAGCCACTGTGCCTGGGCCTTCTTAGTATTTTTGTTTTTTGTTTTTTTTTTTTCATTTCATTAGTGTTAGCTTTAGTTATTATTTTCTGATTTGATTTCTTTTCTTATTCTTTTCATAATTTCTTGAAATAAGTGCTCCCTTTATTTTTCCTGTGCGTGTGTTGTTTAAAGCTTGCTATCTTTTTGACAGTATAATATATGATACAGGGTAATTGAGAGAGTTTCTCATGTTACGCTGTTTTCTCATTTCACATTTTTATTTTGTGAACATAGTATTTTCATTCTTTTTTTAAAAACCAGTTTTATTGCATTGTAATTTATATACAACAAATTGATCCATTTTAAGTGTACAATCCTATGAGTTTTGACAAGTGTATTCAGTTGTGTAATTACCACCACAATTAAGATACAAAACCTTCCTATCTCTCCCAAAATCCTCCTATCCCTTTGCAGGAAGTCTTCTCCCACCTCCCCCAGCCCGTAACTTAAATTTCTCTTGTTTGATATCAGTACAGATGTTCCTTGACTTAGGATGGGACTACGTTCCGAAAAACCCATCATAAGTAGAAAGTAATGTTAGTCGAAAATGCATTTAATACCCTGATAAACCCATCGTAAAGTCAAAGAATCCTAAGTTAAACCATTGTTAAGTCGGGGATTGTCTGTATATAGCCTCTGGTTTTTAAAATAATATTTAATATTTGCCTGGTATCTCTTTCCATGTCTTTATTTTAAAACTTTATCACTTTAAGTGTGTTTCTCTTAAGTAATGTGTGCCTAAATTTGATTTATAACAAAATCTGACAGTCTTTTAATGGTAGATTTCAGTCCGCTTTTATTTACTGTAATGAGTGATGTATTTGATTTTCTTATTTCCATCTTACTTGTTTTAAAGTTTTTTTATATTGTTGTTAACTCTTCTTTTTTTTAATCTTTGCTAGATTAAATAAATTACTACTCATTCAATTTTTCTCCTCATTAATTTGGAGTTTGTCATTCTATTAATAGTTACCATCCCTGTCCCTGCTCTCAGATAGATACACATGACTTTTCTAGTGTATGAAAACAACAGCTACTATTTCCAGAATACTTTAATTACCTTCTATTTCCTCCCCATCCCAATAAAATGTAATCTTTTTTATTTTTGAGACAGAGTCTCACTCTTGTTCCCCAGGCTGGAGTACAGTGGCACGATCTTGGCTCACTGCAACTTCCACCTCCTGGGTTCAAGCGATTCTCCTGCCTCAGCCTCCCAAGTAGCTGGGATTACAGGAGCCCGCCACCAGGCCCAGCTAATTTTTGTATTTTTAGTAGAGACAGGGTTTCGCCATGTTGGCCAGGCTGGTTTTGAACTCCTGACCTCAGGTGATCCGCCCACCTCGGCCTCCGAAAGTGCTGGGATTACAGGCGTGAGCCACCGCGGCTGGCCAAAATGTGACCTTTAGATTACTTTCACTTCCCTTCCTTTCTCCCATTTTTCCTCCCCACCTCTCCCTGCCTTAGACTTCTGGAACACTTTTACCTTCCCCTTATCCCCACCGCCTGACTCCACAGTTTTAATGAGATAATTTAGTCCTTATTAGAATTTCCCTTATAGTGTGTTCCATCTGTTTCAAGAGTCCTTATTTAGCATATATGTTACACCTCATAAACAGACATGGTTCGTTGCTCCCCACTGGTTTCTTGCTTCTTCTCTTCCCCTGTCTTGAAGTCTGTGTTAGGATTCATTTGTTGTTTATTAGAGTCTCTTCTCAAAAGTATTTCTCAGATGAGGTACTCAGTGATTTTTGCAAATCTTTTTTTCTTCCTTGGCTGGGTATAGGTTGCAGGCCTTTTCTTTCATTAGCCCACATTCCATCTGGGGGTCTTTTAACTTTCAGGGTTGCAGATGAGAAAAAATAACTTGCTTTCTGCCTTAAAGTATGTAAGATTTCCTATATTCTTAGAGTTTTGGAATTTTTGCCTATATGTAGCTGAGTGTGTGTCTTTTCGTTTCAATTGGAGCTGGAATCATTCTTTCTTCAGCTTAGAGAAATTTCATCTATTATTTAATTATGATCTCTCCTCTCTTGTTCCTTTTTCTCCTGGAACCCACAGCATTTGCAGGTTAAGTCTACTCTATCTGTTCCAGGCTTCTACCTTCTACCACATATTTGCAATTCTATATTTTTGTGCTAGATTTTGAGACTTTTTTTCTATTTAATTTTCTAGACCTATTTTGGGGTTTCAGCAATGACTGTCCTCTCCTTTGATTTATCAATGGAAATTTTTAGTTCTGAGATCACATTTTCTAGTTCAAGGAAATCTTTTGTGTTTGAGCTTCACACATATCTCTTCCAGGCTCTCATTTTTTCTGTCAGGGATTCAGCTGTCTCTGCCAGCAGGTTCCTCTGCCCTCTGGTTTTTCTGCATTCTCCCAGCCTCAAGGGCTGAGAAATTAAATCCACCATTAGTTTTGCTGGTAGTTAAGACCCAGAAGAGTCATGATTGTCCTTGGGAAGCAGGCTGTCTCTGAGACTTGCTTTCTTCCTGAAAGTCCTTGCTTTTGGCTCTGAGGCTGTTTTCCAGAACTTGTCTATAAGGAATTCTCTCTGCTTGGAGCCCAGAGGAGCCCACTTAAAGTTTGTCACCTATAGCTGGAGTTGTCAGAGGGGGTGTGGAATGGAGAACCTCACTAGAGTTTCCTAGAATTCTCTTGCTCTAAGAGGTCTAAGTATCACTATTAACAAATAAAAAGTCACCAAAACACTTAAAGCCAGGAAGTGTTGAAAGTAGTTACCTCTGGGAACTATGACTGGGAGTAGGAATTGGAATTGGGGGAGAGAGGTTTTTACTTTTATTTTTTCCCCTATGCTAGGATTTCTCACCCTCAGCACTATAAATTTTGGGTGAGAAATTCCTTATTGTGAGTAGCTGACCTGAGTTTTGTAGGTTGTTTAACAGCATCCTTGACCTCTTTCCACTACCACCCCCTCCCCAGTTGTGAAAACCAAAAATGTTTCCAGACATGCCCTAAATGTTTCCTGCAGGGGGTGGGGGCAAAGTCACCCCTGGTTGAGAACCACTGTTGTGTAGCCTTTGGTTCTATTTGACTTTTTTTTTAACCACGTGCACATTATTTCTATAATTAAACATTTAACTGAGGTCACAAGACCGAAGAGGAAATATGAAGCTGTTATAAGGAACCAGAACAACTAAGTAGAGAATATACAGTAAAGGATAGGGAAGCAAGTTAGCAAAGTGGGAAGAAATGGAATATAAATAAAAGAAGTAGAAATGAAGAAATGAGAATCACTTAAATCTGTTCCCTCCTTGTAACAAAACCAAGCTGGAAGTTTAAACCCATCTTTGAGAGACTGCAGAGCAGGGCCAAAGATGGAGAGACCCTGGCCACATCGCTTCCAAAGACCCTCTTCACCTATAAGTAATTTCTTAAGAACTTTCTGGCCGGGCGCAGTGCCTCACGCCTGTAATCCCAGTACTTTGGGAGGCCTAGGCGGGTGGATCACGAGGTCAGAAATGAAGAGAGTATCTGAGTCTTGGAACTAGAGGAGCAGGATCCTGAAGTCCCACATAGTCCTGTCACTGAGGTCCCTGTCAGGCCTCTGAGCCCAAGAAAAGCCATTATATCCCCTGTGACCTGCACGGATACATCCAGATGGCCTGAAGCAACTGAAGATCCACAAAAGAAGTTAAAATAGCCAGTTCCTGCCTTAACTGATAACATTCCACCATTGTGATTTGTTTCTGCCCCACCCTAACTGATCAATTGACTTTGTGACAATACACCCTCCCCACCCTTGCGATAAGTACTTTGTGATATTCCCCCACCCTTGTGAATGTACTTTGTACGATACACCCTCCCCACCCTTAAGAAGGTACTTTGTAATATTCTCCCCACGCTTGAGAACGTACTTTGTAAGAAGATCTACCCCCTGCCCGCAAAAAATTGCTCCTAACTCTATCGCCTATCCCAAAACTATAAAAACTAATGATAATCCCATCACCCTTTGCTGACTCTCTATTCGGACTCAGCCCGCCTGCACCCAGGTGAAATAAACAGCCTTATTGCTCACACAAAGCCTGTTTGGTGGTCTCTTCACACAGACGTGCATGGCATTTGGTGCTGAAGACCCGGGACAGGAGGACTCCTTCGGGAGGCGGGTCCCCTGTCCTCGCCCTAACTCTGTGAGGAGATCCACCTACAACCTCGGGTCCTCAGACCAACCAGCCCAAGGAACATCTCACCAATTTCAAATTGGGTAAGCGGTCTTTTCACTCTCTTCTCCAGCCTCTCTTGCTACCCTTCAATCTCCCTCTCTTGCTACCCTTCAATCTCCCTGTCCTTCCAATTCCAGTTCTTTTTCCTCTCTAGTAGAGACAAAGGAGACACATTTTATCTGTGGACCCAAAACTCCGGCGCTGGTCATGGACTCAGGAAGACAGCCTTCCCTTGGTGTCTAATCACTGCGGGGATGCCTGCCTGATTATTCACCCACATTTCATTGGTGTCTGATCACCACGGGGATGCCTGCCTTGGTCATTCACCCACATTCCCTTGGTGGCAAGTCAATTGTGGGGACGCCTGCTTTGGCTGCTCACCCACATTGCAGCCCAGGGCTGCTCATCACCCCCTGCTCCGTGTCTCTACCTTTCTCTTTAAACTTACCTCCTTCACTATGGGCAACCTTCCACCCTCGATTCCCCCATCTTTTCCCTTAGCCTGTGTTCTTGAAAACCCCTTCAACTCACACCTGACCTAAAACCTAAATGCCTTATTTTCTTCTGCAATACCACTTGGCCCCAATACAAACTCGAAAATAGTTCCAAGTGGCCAGAGAACGGCACTGTCAATTTGTCTATCCTACAAGACCTAGATAATTTTTGTCGAAAAATGGGCAAATGGTCGGAGGTGCCGTACATCCGGGCGTCTTTCACACTTCATTCTCTCCCTAGTCTCTGTTCCCAATGCGACTTGTCCCAAATCCTCCTTCTTTCCCTCCCACCTGTCCCTTCAGTCCCAACCCCAAGTGTTGCTGGGTCTTTTGAATCTTCCTTTTCTACCGACCCATCTGACCTCTCCCCTCCTCCCCAGACTGCTCCTCCTCAGGTCGCTCCCCACCAGGCTGAATCAGGCTCCAGCTCCTCTTCAGCCTCCGCTCCCCCACCCTATAACCCTTCTATCACCTCCCCTCCTCACACCCAGTCTGGCTTACAGTTTTGTTCTGCGACTAGCTCTCCCCCACCTGCCCAACAATTTCCTCTTAGAGAAGTGGCTGGAGCTGAAGGCATAGTCTGGGTACATGCGCCTTTTTCTGTATCAGACTTTTCCCAAATCAGCCAGTGTTTGGGCTCTTTCTCATCAGACCCCGCTAAATATATACAGGAATTCCGATATCTAACTCTGTCCTGCAAGTTAACCTGCAGTGACTTAAATGTCATCCTGACTTCCACCCTCTCCCCAGATGAACAGGAAAGAGTTTTTTCTCTAGCCCAGTCTCACGCTGACAACCGCTGGCTTCATGAGCCAGGCCTCCAGGAAGGCATCAGAGCAGTTCCCCGAGAGGACCCCCAAAGGAACTATCAGGCAGATTCCCCAGGTATAGCTAGGCGAGATTACATGATTTCCTGCCTAGTTGAAGGGCTTAAAAAGGCAGCACACAAAGCTGTTAATTCTGACAAGCTAAAGGAAACTACCCAAGGTAAAGGCGAAAACCCAGCCCAGTTCCTGGCCCGCTTGGCAGCAACCCTTAGACGCTTTACCGCCCTAGACCCAGAGGGGCCGGAAGGCCGCCTTATTCTTTTTTTTTTTTTTTAGATGTATTTTACTTTTATTTTTTTAATCTTTGGGCACAAAGATTTGACACATTATTTCAAAAGAATACAACTACTCATCCAGTAGGAATAAATTCAACAAACATTAATTGATGAGCAAAGTACTGGCTTTAAAAAAATAAACTAAGTAAATTTTTTTTCCCTTGGGTAATAAAATAATAATAAAAGAAGAGACATTGGGTTAAGCACCCTTAGGGCAAAATAAAAATGCAATTGGTTTCTCAAAAACTTGCTTTTGACATCTCAAAAAAAGTCATGCTAGGGAAATGAGCTAAGAAAGCACATTGTTATTTGTACGTGGTAGTGTGACATCCTTGCCATGTTGAAGGTAAGACCATCTAAAGGTCAAGACAGTACACAGAGACTATAAAAACAAAATTGAAATAAAAAGCAGGATAATAAAATGAAAGGAAAAGTAGAAACTGCCAGAAAGAAGCAGAAGCAGCACAACTGTCAAGGAGACAGTGTAAATTCAGATGCCATCAAGCTTTACCACAAAGAGATAAAGGAAAAGGCCAATTTTGATGACAAATGACAAAGTGTAACATCCAAAGAGAAATGGAGAAAAAAGAGGTCATCTGTCCTCCTGTGAACATTTGAATAGTTCTCAGATACACTTAGTTTGAGCAGAATTATGTGATTACTGAGTTCTTCCCTCTCTGCTTGGCAAAAATGATGGAAGTCTTGTCTCCAATTTTAACCCTATTTGCCTTTTTGCAACAATATGGCAGGTTGTTTACATGCTGGCTGGGGAAAGGGAAACTAAGAGTAAAAACCAACCAGTTGTTACTTTGCAAAATGGAAATGTAACTCTGAGGATTAAGCAATCTTGACTGCTAACAAAATTAATTCCTGAACACCATGAAAAAGGAAAAAATACATAGAAATTGATATTTTAAACGTTAAATATTCAGCAGTTTCTCTTATTTGGCAAAATCTTTTTGAAGCAAAGCTGATCTCATTTTGGTTTAGATCACATCAAAGAATTTCCACCAAAAATGACTGAATTATTGCTATTTACTAAAATGGTTTTCATTCTGTGACATTTTTCTGTTTCAACCAAAATTGGTGTACTAAAAGCCATTTCTGGCACTGACCATCTACAGTTAGTGCAGACTCCATAAGTTAAGGGCTTAATCCTTCACAAATCTTCTCTTCAGATTCCAGCTGTACTTTGGGGGTCCCCAGGTCACCCACACTTCTGAACAACTAGCTATAAATTTGGTGATTCCCATGACCCTGTTAGTGTTACCGTGGGTCTTTGCTCACAGAGCTCCCAAGATGGTGGTGAGCCGCTTCCAAGATGGTGGCAAGCCTTGTGTTCTCTGACTTGGGGTTCTTGGCCTCACGGATTCCAAGGAATGGAATCTTGGGCCATGCGATGAGTGTTATAGCTCTATTAGAAGCCGTGGGTCACGGAAGAGAACTGTGGAACCCAGTGACTAGTGTTCAGCTCGATTAGGACGAACCCAGGCACTTAGCCGTGCAAGAACAATGGGAAGCCTTTAGCACGATCGGGAGTGGCAATGGGAGTCTCACTGGGTCAGGAGCACAGCAGACACCCTGCCGGATCTGGAGGGATGGGAGTCAGCAGCAGGATGGGAGTCAGCGGCAGGTCTGCGACAGTGGCAAACAGCAGTGGTGGACGGGGAGCGAAAGCTCAGCTCGAGCCGTAACAAACATGGACCAGAAGAGTGCAGTTGCAAGATTTAATAGAGTGAAAACAGAGCTCCCATACAAAGGGAGGGGACCCAAAGGGGGTTGCCATTGCCGGCTTGAATGCCCGGGTTTATATCCCGATCCTTGTCCCTCCTGCTGTGCTCTCAGGCAAAAGGTGATTGGCTATTTCTTTACCTCCTGTTTTTGCCTAATTAGCATTTTAGTGAGCTCTCTGATTGGTTGGGTGTGAGCTAAGTGGCAAGCCCCATGTTTAAAGGTGGATGCAGTCACCTTCCCAGCTACGCTTAGGGATTCTTAGTCGGCCTAGGAAATCCAGCTAGTCTTGTCTCTCAGTGCCCCCTCTCAACAGGAAAACCCAAGTGCTGTTGGGGAGGTTGGCTGATGACCGCTGTAACTGCTTCCTGCTGAATTGGGGCATAGTAGGGGTTGCACAGTTGAGATTTCCTCGGGGGGGGTGCCTTCGATGTCATTAACATCGGAGCATGGGCTAGCAGGCTGGTCCAGGGGTCTGTGGTGGATCTTAGTCATGGACTGCATCTGGGGCTCCATTTGAAGAACCATTTGTAGTTTTACAGTTTCAATTCTGGAAGAGACAAACTTAACAAGGAGGTTAAAGATACAGGGATTGAAATGTATGGCCTGCAGTGCAGGGAATTACTTCTTTGGCACACTTTACAGGCCCTGACTATCTGCTTGATAGTTTTGAAAGACCTGGTCCAGTAAATAATAATTTGGCCATCTGATGGGTGCTATCAATGCCTAAGTGAAAGATTTGGTGAAGGGTTTAAAGTAATTTCCATTGGTTAGCTGCAGGCATAAGTATTTTTCCTTCTTCGGTGGCTAGCCATCTTGAGGAGAGGAAACTATGTCTTCTTGAGGTTCCTCATTCTATTTCTTCTTCTGAGTACTGGGGCTTGGTTTCCTGGAGGGGATTACCTCATACTAGGGGTCCTTCTATAAGCATTTCTAATGGAGGGTCCTGCCTTGTGGCTCTTTTGGCTTCAATATCTGCTTGGCGGTTCCCTTCTATTTCCCTTTCCTTTCCTTTGTGGTGACCCCGGCAGTGTAAGACTGTCACCTCTTTAGGTTTCTGTACAGCCAATAGTAATCTCCTAATGGCTTCCAGATGTTTGATAGGTGTTTCCTTGGAAGTTAGGAATTCCCTTTCTCTCCATACTGCTGCATGGGCATGGAGGACTAGGTGAGCATACTTAGAGTCTGTATATATATTTACCCTTTTCCCTTCTCCTAATTCTAGTTCCCGAGTGAGGGCTATTAGTTCTGCCAGCTGAGCACTAGTTCCTGGAGTGAGGGGATTACTTTCAAGTATTCCATTATCACTAACCACTGCATACCCTGCTTTTCAAAGCCCTTTTTCTACAAAGGAACTTCCATCAGTATACAAGTTGAGGTCGGGATCAGTCACGGGAACCTCTAAAAGGTCCCCTCTAGCGGCACTGGTTTGAGCAATTACTTGTTGACAGTTATGTTCTATCTTTTCTTCATTGTCTGGAAGAAATGTGGCTGGGTTAAGAGTTGCACAAGTGCACAGTCGCAGCACTGGCCCTTCAAGTAATACAGCTTGATATTTAAGTAAATGGTTGTCTGACAGCCACAAGTCTCCTTTAGCAGTGAGTATGCTGTTTACATCATGAGATGGCCACACAGTAAGATCACCTGTATTATTTTAACTGCTTCAGATACTAAGACTGCTACTGCTGCCACTATCCGTAAACAATGGGGCCAACCCTTTACCACTCCATCAATTTCCTTACTCAGGTATGCCACGTGTTGCAAGCTCATCCCTCGGACCTGTGTAAGGACTCCTAGAGCTATTCCTGTTTCTTCTGTGACATATAAAGAAAAGTCTTGCCCCATTGGCAAGCTTAACACTGGGGCTTGGGTTAGGGCCTTCTTTAGGGCCTGGAAAGCCGCTTCTGCTTCAGGTGTCCATCTTACTAAATGGGTATTGGCTTTCTGAGTTTCCTTAATTAGTGTATATAATGGCCTGGCTATTTCGCTGTACCTGGGAATCCATATTCGGCAGAAGCCTGTTATGCCAAGGAACCCTCTTAGTTGCTTTTGGGTTGCCGCCTTATTCTTAATATGCATTTTATCACCCAATCTGCTCCTGATATTAGGAAAAAACTCCAACAATTGGATTCCGGCCCTCAAACCCCACAACAGGACTTAATTAACCTTGCCTTCAAGGTGTACAATAATAGAGAAGAGGCAGCCAAGTGACAAGGCATCTCTGAGTTACAGCTACTCGCCTCTGCTGTAAGACAACCCACAACCACGTCTCCAGCACACAAAAACTTCAGAACATCCAAGCCACAGTTCCCAGGGGCTCCTTCAAAACCTCCTCGTGGACCTGGCTTCAAATGCCAAAAGCCTGGCCACTGGGCCTGAGAATGCCCACAGCTCGGGATTCCTCCTAGGCCGTGCCCTGTCTGTGTGGGCCCCCACTGGAGGTTGGACTGTCCGACTCACATCGCCACCATTCCTAAAGCTCCTGGAGCTCAAACCCAACGTTCCTTGGCTGACTCCTTCCCACATCTGCTCGGCTTAGCAGCTGAAGACCGACACTGCCCAATCGCCTTGGAAGCCCCCTGGACCATCACAGACGCGCGTGACAGTCCCCAGCACTGCAGAGATCTGAGATCCAATAACAGTCTGCAGAGGTCTACTCACACCATAGCCACTGCTCTGGGATTCCCATTCCATTTAGGCCTCCTGATTGCCCCATGTGTCCTTACAATAAACAACGCTTCACTTAAAGACTTGATTCCTTACAAACAAAGGCCTGGTAGACTAAGCGCGCCGAGTCAAAGAGATGGCCCCCAACTATGTGTTCCCAGTACTAGATTGACTTCTTAGTGCCACACGTTAAGGATCAAGCCGAAAGGGAGTGATGAGTAAGCTGCAAATAAAGTCTGTAAAAGAACTATAGAAGGGGCCGGGCTGGGTAACTCACGCCTGTAATCCCAACACTTTTGGAGGCGGAGGCAGGCAGATCACCTGAGGTCAGGCATTCAAAACCAGCCTGGCCAACATAGTGAAACCTCATCTCTACTAAAAATACAAAAATTAGCCGGGCGTATTGGCACGCCCCAATAATCCCAGCTACTCCAGAGGTTGGGAGGCTGGGGCAGGAGAATTGCTTAAATCTGGAGGTGGAGGTTGCAGTGGGGCCAAGATCGCACCATTGTACTCCAGCCTGGGTGACAGAGAAAAACTCCGTCTCAAAACAAACAAACAAACAAACTGTAGAAGGCACTTTAGAACGCTTCTCCTGAAAAGGAAAAAAAAAAAAAAGAAAGAAAGGCCAGGCATGGTGGCTCATGCCTGTAATCCCAACACTTTGGGAGGCCAAGGTGGGTGGATCATGAGGTCAGGAGTTTGAGACCATCCTGGCCAACATGGTGAAACCCCATCTCTACTAAAAATACAAAAAATTAGCCAGGCATGGTGGCGAGTGCCTGTAGTCCCAACTACTCTGGAGGCTGAGGCAGGAGAATCGCTTGAAACCAGGGGTGGGGTGGAGGTTGAAGTGAGCCAAGATCACACCGCTGTATTCCAGCCTGGGCAACAAGAGTGAAACTCTGTCTCAAAAAAAAAAAAAAAAAAAAAAAAAGACCTAGGTTATTTGTAAGGACTGGCTCCCAATTCCTCCAGGGCTGTCAGACCAGTATCGACAGAACCAGTGAGACAAGTAACAAGGAAGCCAACTTTGGTTCCAAATTTTAAAAGTTCTATCAATCAGAAAGATTGGAAGAGAGTCCTTGGAAAGGTAGTGAGGTCCTTACCAAGGAGAGGTTCAGCTTCTGGAAGTGTTCAAGAAGAAATCATAGGGCAGTTCCTGCAGTGGGTGTAACTTTGGGCCAGATCTGTCAGCCTCCTTTTGGCTATATGATTCTAGAAATTTATAAGCTAGACAAGGGATCTGATTAACTCACACGTTAAGTAGAAATATCTTAGGGCCAAATGGCATGACAGTACATTTAAGTCAGAGGAGGGTGGCTCAAGGAGGAATTGGGCAATAAGTGAAGACATCAGAGGTTCAGCATCTTCAGCTGGCTCCTGTCTGTTGGTCTTTCCCCCACAGAATTAGTCAGAACTCGTGACTGCGAGAGATAGAAAACATAACTTTGACTGAAGCCAAAAAAAAAAAAAAAAAAGGCCGGGCGCGGTGGCTCACGCCTGTAATCCCAGCACTTTGGGAGGCCAAGGTGGACAGATCACCTGAGGTTGGGAGTTCCAGACCAGTCTGACCAACATGGAGAAACCCCGTTTACTAAAAACACAAAATAAGCCGGGGGTGGTGGAGCATGCCTGTATTCCCAGCTACTCGGGAGGTTGAGGCAGAAGAATCGCTTGAACCCAGGAGGCGGAGGTTGCAGTGAGCCGAGATCTCGCCACTGCACTTCAGCCTGGGCAACAAGAGCGAAACTCCGTCTCAAAAAAAAAAAAAAAAAGGAATTCATTAGCTTACATAGCCAAAAAGTTCAGAAGGCAAATATAGCTCTGGGCATGTCTAGATTCAAGGTTTCAAATGAAGTCATTAAGACTCGGTCTGGGCCAGGCGCTGTGGCTCACGCCTGTAATCCCAGCGGGTGGATCACTTGAGGTCAGGAGTTGGAGACCGGCCTGGCCAACACGGTGAAACCCCGTCTCTATTAAAAATACAAAAATTAGCAGGGCATGGTGGTGCACACCTGTAGTCCCAGCTACTAGGGAGGCTGAGGCAGGAGAATCGCTTGAACCCAAGAGGTAGAGGTTGCAGTGAGCCGAGGTTGCACCACTGCACTCCAGCTTGGGCAACAGAACAAGACTCCGTCTCAAAAAACAAAAACAAACAAAAAAAAACTTGGTCTGTATTATGCATTGTATGCGTATATCAAAATATCTCATGTACTCTATAAATACATACACCTACTATGTACCCATAAAAATTAAGAATTAAAAAACACTTGGTTTCTCTCCACAACCCAGCTCTGTTTCCCTCCTTGTAAGAAAACCAAGCTGGAAGTTTAAACCCATCTTTGAGAGACTACAGAGCAGGGCCAAAGATGGAGGTGCCCTGGCCGGATGGCTTCCAAAGACCCTCCCCACCTATAAGTAATTTCTTAAGAACCTGGCCAGGCTCGGTGGCTCAAGCCTGTAATCCCAGCACTTTGGGAGGTCTAGGTGGGCGGATCACCTGAAGTCAGGAGTTCACCAGCCTGCCCAACATGGCGAAACCCTCTCTCTACTAAAAATACAAAAATAATTAGCCGGGAGTGTTGGCGGGCGTCTGTATTCCCAGCTACTCAGGAGGCTGAGGCAGGAGAATCTCTTGAACCTGGGAGGCGGAGGTTGCAGTGAGCCGAGATCGTGCCATTGCACTCCAGCCTGGGCGACAGGAGCAAGACTTCGCCTCAAAAAAAAAGAAAAAAAAAAAGAACTTCCTGCTGTTGAACCTTTGACTGTCCCGGAGACCCTCCCTCTTCCGTTTTCAATGTGTCCCTATCCTCCTAGCTAGGCTTTAAGAAAGAGGAGGGACAGCTGGGGCCCTAGGAGCTCCCCCTGAGGGTCTGTCCCTGGGAACGGGGCGCTAGGACGGGCACTCCTTCTGGCTGGAATGCTACGCCGGTGAGGGAAAGGAGTCCACTAGGGAAGTACCTGGAGGTGGAGACGGGGAGAGAAATCACAGGTATTTGTGAGTCGATCAGCTAGAGGGTGTGGCAAGGGGGGGCCCCTCGGAAGATGTCTTAAGTTCCAGGTTCAGGAATCAATAGGGAAACTGCCCAGTCCTTGTGTTCAGGGCTGAGGGCCTCGGTGACGGAGACGAGGTAAGAAAACGGAACGGCTGTACAGGAGAAGACAGAGAATCCGGGCTGGGGGACGGAAAACAAAGTTCAAATCATACCCCGCTACAGTCACATATGAAAAATAAAATTGTTTTACAGAAACTCAGTTTACAAACGACTGCTTGGGAGCAGTCATGTCACCCAGTCCAGAGGGAGCCGGTCAGCTGCGTTCCGCGAACTTGGGAGGCGACTGCTGGGGTAGCGGCGGGGCCCTCACTGCGCGTCGTCAGGGACCAGACCCTGGGGTGGCCCCGAAGCGTCGAGACTACAACTCCCGGGATGCCGCGGGCCAGGCTGCATCCCGCCTGCGCAGAAGTGGTGGCAACTCCGCCCCTCGCCAGGCGGCGGCGCTGCGGACTCAGTCCTAAGCGGGCGAAGGCGGCGAGCGCCGTGGGTCTGGGCGGGCCAGGAGAACCGGGTGCTTCGAGGAGATCTGCGGGCTGGGTTGGGGGCGTTTGACCCCTTGGCTTGTCCCAGTGGGTAGGCGGGACTCCAACCCCCGCCTCCTCCAGGGTAAAGCTCTCACGTCCACCTGGCGCGACGCTGAGCCATCTTCAGAAGCACCGCAGCCCTCAGAACCCCACATCCCGCTGCCGGTGGTTCCCCGCATCCGGTGTCCGCCCCCGAAGCCTCCCTCCCTCCCTCCTCCGCATCCCCAGCTACCTGCCCTTAACCGCGACCTGGGCCTCTCCTGGGGAGGCCCAGGGTGGGGTCCTCAGAGGTCCAGGGACCCAGGGGCATTTGTGGGGTCTGTAGGGGGGTGGGCTTAAGGGAAGGGTGGTCCCTTTCAAATTGGGACCACCAGGCAGGAATCAGGCGCACGGGTTCCTCCTCTGTGGCTTCCTGTGGCACTCCAAGTGGGAAGAAGAGAAGCTTGGAAGTGAAAGCCTCAGCTTCTCCTTTCTTCAGCCCCTCAAGCCTCAGAAAGATCTGTCAAGCGCGGCCCGCCTCTACAGAGGCCCTGGGGAGATGGTCTAGACCTTGAAATATCCTAGAAGAGGTTTGACAGGTTGGAGCTTTTGCTAGACAGATGGATCACAGATGGGCTTAAGGGGTGGAGGGTGTGTGTGTGTTTGTGAGAGAGAGAGAGAGAGAGAGAGAGAGAGAGAGAGAGATTGCCAGGTGAGGAAGGTGATGAGCTGAAACCAACTTGGAGCTATGCTGTATTATGATGATGAGGATTTGGGTTGGGGGGTGTTACAGGCTCTAACCAGAAATCTGGAAGATGTGATAGGTGGGGCCTTTAAAAAAAAAAAAAACCCTAAACATCTCTTTGTAATCCATCCCTCCTCTGCATCCCTACCGCTACTGCCGCCATCCCCTCTCACTCAAATCTTGCAATAGCCTTTGAAAGGCGCCGCCTGACTCCAGACTGCTGACCACTAGATCAGCACAGCAGCCAGTGGAGTTAGAGCCTTTAACTCACTGTGTTCATCCCTCGCTTAAAACTTTCAGTGACTCCCTTTCACCTCCCCTGCAGGATAAAGCCCAAGCTCCTTGGCATGACTTATGGGCGCAGTGTGATCTGGCTCTGTCTGCCCCTCCAGCCTCATCTTACCATTGCCCCCATCTCACTCTACCCTCCGCTGTGCCTAATGCACTTCTGCCAGGTCCTCTGAATAAGCCTCTCCTTTGCCTGTGGTTCCCTTTGCCTTGGAGCATTTTCTGTCCTTCGCTTCTCCTGGCAGATTCCTACTATGTGTCATGTCTCTACCTAGAAGTCACTTCACCTATGAGCTCCCATAGAGGATCCTGTATTTCTCTTATTTTAATAATGCCTAGCATTATTGAGCATTTATTGTCTAAGTGCTTTACAAATGGTAACTCATTCAGCCTCACAACCACCTTTTTTTGAAGTAAACACCGTTAATATCCTCTCAATCTTACAGATTCAGAAACCGAGGCACAGTTGCCCAAGAACACACAGCTGGTAAGTGGTAGACATGGAATTTGAATGCAGGCAGTCCGGCTCCTGAGCCCAGAGTCCTAATCTCTGTGCCAACTGGCTGATGTAGCATGCTATATGGGGTAGGAGGCTGGGGTTAAGAATCAGCAGGTGATGGGTGGACAGGCAGGACAAATTAGATGGGGATTAAAATGAAAGTGGTGACAAGCAAAACTGTTGCCAAGACTGCAGGTGACAACTGAGAGAGTGAAGGCCAGGCACGGTGGCTCATGCCTGTAATCCCAGCACTTTGGGAGGCCAGAGTGGGAGAGAGTGAGTGGAGATGGACCGCTGCCATAGTGATGGGGTAAGGAGAAGGCCTCTAGGGGTATACGATGACTAAGTGCAGATAAGGCTACTGATGTCAAAACAGGGGTATAGGTGGGACTCATAGCGGACAGACGGAGGTCAGATTGGAGGACTTGATGAAGGAACCAGGCTGGCAGGTTGTGGAGGTGATGGCAGTTATAGAGGTCAAGGGGAGAGTAGCTCAGGACTGTGAGCTTGCAGCCCCAGGGGGAATGCAGTGGCTCTGAGTGCAGATCCCAGGGGTGTTCTAGCAGCAGCAACAGCAGCTGAGGAGCTGGGCTCTGGCCCTCCACCCCGGTGCCCACCTCTGCACTGTTGATGCCGCAGCCCCTCTTGGCCCCTCATCCCCAGCTAGGCACCCCCAGAAAGAGCTCCGTGCAGACAGCAAAGCTCACACCCCCATCTGCAGGGCCCTTTGCAAGTCTTCAGCCTTCTAGGTAAAAATCTAAACACTTTTTGGAAAGTTTTATTTGAAAACTTGGGGACAGGACAGAGACAGCAGGATGGAGACTGTATTCTCCTGCTAGGGTTCTTAGGTCAAAAGCCAGGCTCGGGTCCCTCCCGTCTCTAAGTTCCAGGTCCACTCCAGTCTGTGGACTCCTGAGGAATATACCCACCCACCCACTGTCAGGCCCTTACCCCTCCCCCACCGCCCACTTCCTGTGCCTGAGGAGACACTGAGGCGTGGGGGTAGACTATGAGGGAGCGGGGGTGGGGAGGATCTGGTTAAACTCCAGAAGAAGGAAGTGAGAACCTGGGAGTTTGGGGGCTAAGAGGAACAGATAGAAAAAAGAAATAAGGAGGGGGCTACTGTCTTTGCCTCCTCCATCACGAAAGCTTTGCCCTGAGATGTCTCCCTTGAAGCTCAGATAGGAAGTCCGGGGTAGATCACATCCTGTGACTTGGCAATGGCGCCCGTCTTTGGGTGCTGGTTGGGAAACAGTCATGCCCCTGCTACGGGGGGCTGGGGCAGTGCACGCCCCGCTGTGCCAGGCCCTCCATCTCAGCTGGCTGCAGGCTGGCTGTTGGCATAGGCCTGATCCGGGAAGGAGGCCCGGGCCCTGCGGGTCTGGGCACATACTGAGGCATAGAGCTCCGGCTCGGGGCCCGAGGCCTGGGACTTTGGCTCAGAGTCCAGCACCACCTCCGAGTACTTGACGGGGGTTCCAGGACCGGGGATCCGACCCTGAGGAGGCCGCAGCTGCAGGCTGGTATAGCACATCACCTCCTCTGCAGCCTGGAGATGCAAGGCTGTTAGAAGTTCACTGGACCCTCGGAAAAGCCCGAAAAGCCCCCCACTTCCTTCCCTCCCCCTTTTCTCCAGCCACAGTTGACTCACCCTGGCAGGGCCTCCAAGAGTTGGATCCTGCTGGTCTGGCTCTGGGTCTTGAGACAGCCGTCCTGGGACGGGGAACAGGAATCTGGTCAGCAACTTGTCCTTCCTCCTGCACGCCCCCATCCCAGCCACCCAGGACCTGGCCTCTGTGCCCCTCCTCTCTGCCAGCTCCCTACCTGTCTGTAGATAATGCAGGTTCCCATACAGCGGGACCTCTTCCACAGACTCTCCAGAGCTGCAACGCAGAGTTTAGGGGATGAGTGGGGACTTCTCGGTAAGAGAGAACTCTCAGTCAACCCATCCCTGTTGTCCTTCACCCACCGTCCCTGCCCCGGATGGCTCCTGCTCCGGCCCCTGGTCCACTGGGACAAGTGTGCAGCCAGCGAGATGAGAAATAGCAGCGTCACAGCCCCTAAGAGGACCCACAGTCCCCAGGCCTGGGTTATGGAGGGGATTCCTGTGGATGTGAAAGGAAGGGGGGTGTAACAGCCCCGCCCCACCCCCAGGGCCCAGCAGGTGGGACCTGGGGCCACATGACCCCTCCCCCACCAGCCCCTGCCCTGCCCAGCTCACCCAGTGCGAGTAGATCCGTGCAGTTGTCGCCTCTGCTCATGGCTGCAGATGTGAGAGTCCACAAGCACACTGCTCTGAGCCGAGGGTCAGCCTGGTTCATGGCCTGACGGTTTCCACAGCACTTCTTACTCCCATCCCTCCTCAGGCCCGTACCCCGCAGCTCAGCATCCCCAATACTGGTGGTGGCAAAGTCTCTGGTTTCCGGGGAGGAAGGGGGAGGGGAGGGATGAAAAAAAGAACAAAGACCCCGCCCTGTGCCTGCACCTGCGCCACTCCTGCAGCTCCTGAGCTTCCCCCACCCTCGCTGCCCAGGCCCTTTGCCCCCCTTGAGAAGAGAAGCAGGCCTGTGGGTAATGTGCCACGGGCAGTTGAGTCCCTGAGGACTCTGAGGGCGGGGGGTGGGGGCAGAAGTGGTGTGAAGCAGGACTAACAAGGACAGGAACACCCCTTCTGCTCCAGGATGCCCACCTTCCTCCCTGACTCTGGTCCCAGAAGAAAGATGTATTCCTCAATGAGTATGGTATAAAGTGGAAGGGTCGGGGGAGCCTCCTGGTACCTCTGATCCCATCACACCCTAAGGCTGATCTGAGAGGATATGTGTTTAGATGATGCTTGTTATTGTTTCATTGGGGGCATTATAATTTGGGGGACACCCCCAAACCTCCCCTTTCAACCCACTTCATCCAAACTGTCTGTAAGAACTGTCACTCTCAATAATTAATTGCATTTTAAAACTCTTTGCTGTAGGACTGTCCTGGGAAACTGAGCCCTATCTTGCACATGTTCACTTCAGCGGGTGTAGTACCTGCCATACCTAGAGCTAACTCCATCACGTGCAAGGCTATTGATGTAGGAAGAGGGATTTTAAGTTGCAAATATAAACCTGAGACCAGAAGTCAGAGATGTGTTTTGTCTAGCCCATACAACATTTTTTAAAAGTTTAAAATCAGTGCAGTGGCATGCCAACAATAGGGATGGCAGAAGTCCTGCCCCTTGAGTTGCAGGCAATAAGGGGGTGCATTGTCTGTAGAGAATTTAAAAAATAAAAATCAGTCCTCTTATTATCACCATGTTCCAGAAATTCTGAAAAAAAAAATCAGTGATAAAATTATCCTCCCTGAAAAATATTTTATGGATCTAAGTTTTATATTTTTTTTGAGACAGGGTCTTACTTTGTCTCCCAGGTTGGAGTGCAGTAACACAATCTCAGCTCACTGCAGCCTTGACGATCTCCCGGGCTCAAGTGATCCTCCCATCTCAGCCACCTAAGCAGCTAGGACTACAGGCATGTGCCACCACACCCAGCTAATCTAGTTCATTTTTTGTAGAGATAGGTCTCCCTGTGTTGCCAGGCTGGTCTCAACTCCTGACCTCAAGCAACCTGCCCACCTCGGTCTCCCAAAGTGCTGGAATTACAGGCATGAGCCACTGCGCCCAGCCCAGATCTAACTTTTAAATTGCTGTAGTGGACCAGGTGCAGTGGCTCATTCCTGTAATACCAGCACTTTGGAGGCCAAGGCAGCAGGAGGATTGCTTGAGGCCAGGAGTTCAAAACCAGTCTGAGCAATATAGTGAGACCCTCCATCTCTACCAAAAAACAAACAAAAACAGTAGACAGGCCTGATGACACAAGCGTGTAGTCCTAGCTACTTGGGAGACTGAGGTGGGAGGATCACTTGAGCCCAGGAGTTGGAGGCTGCAGGGAGCTATGATTATGCCACTGCACTCCAGCCTGGGCGACAGACGGAGAGACCCTGTCTCTACAGTAGATGCACAAATACCATTGTCTTACAACTGCCTACAGTATTCAGTATGGTAACATGCTGTAAGCATTGGGGCCTAGGAGCACCAGGCTATACCATGTAGCCTAGATGGGTAATAGGCTACACCATCTAGGTTTGTGAAAATACACTCTATGATGTTTGCACAATGACAAAATTGCCTAGTGACTCATTTCTCAGAACATATCCCTGTTGTTAAGCAATGCATGGCTGTTTTTATGCTGACATGATTATATTTACAAAGTTCAAGGAAAGAAAATATTCACTGAGTTTATTTCTTGGCCCTTATTATTCATTTTATAATTGCCATTGAGAATAATTTTGTCATATAAAGAATGTTTAAATTTGTTTTAATTTTATTTATTTATTTATCTGAGATGGAGTCTCCCTCTGTCGCTCAGACCAGACCGCAGTGGCACAATCTCGGCTCACTTGCCCAGGCTGGAGAGAAGTGGCGTGCCTGGCCATAAAGCATTTTTTTAAATGATCCACTTGAAAAATAAAACTTTGTTCCAGGCATGGTGGCTCATGCCTGCAATTCCAGCACGTTGGGAGGGTGAGGCAAGAGGATCGCTTGAGCCCAGGAGTTCAAGAACAGCTTGGGCAACATGGCAAAACCCCGTCTTTACCAAAAATACAAAAAATTAGCCAGGTGTGATGGTGCACGCCTGTGGTCCCAGCTACTCGAGAGGCTGAGGTGGGAGGATTGCTTGAGCCTAGGAGGTAGAGGTTTCAGTGAGCCAAGATCAAGCCTCTGCACTCCAGCCTGGGCAACAGAGTGAGACCCTGCCCCCCACCCCCAAAAAAAGAAAGAAAACAAGAAAAATTTGGGTCTGGGCATGGTGGCTCACGCCTGTAATCCCAGCACTTTGGGATGCTGAGGTGGGTGGATCACCTGAGGTCAGGAGTTTGAGAGCAGCCTGGTCAACATGGTGAAACCTCGTCTCTACTAAAAATACAAAAATTAGCCGGGCATGGTGGCAGGTACCTGTAATCCCAGCTACTCTGGAGGCTGAGGCACAAGAATTGCTTAAACCCAGGAGGTGGAGGCTGCAGTGAGCCAAGATCACTCCACTGCACTGCAGCCTGGGCGACAGAGCAAGACTCCATCTCAAAAAAAAAAAAAAAAAGAAAGAAAGAAAAATTTGGGCCAGGTGTGATGGCTCACACCTGTAATCACAGCACTTTGAGAGGCTGAGGTGGGAGGATAGCTTGGGCCCAAGAGTTTGAGACCAGCCTAACCAACATAGTGAGATTCCCATCTCTGCAAAAAATTAAAAAATTAGCGAGGCATGGGGGCATGTGTGCCTGTAGTCACAGCTACTTAAGAGGCTGAAGTGGGAAGATTGCTTGAGCCTGGGAGATAGAGGCAGCAGTAAGCCATGATTGTGCCACTGCACCACTCCAGCCTGGGCAACAGAGTGAGAGCTTGTCTCAAAAAAAAAAAAAAAAAAAGACAGAAAAGAAAGAAAAATGTTTTTTAAATGATCCGGAACAGGCAAGGTGGCTCACACTTGTAATCCCAGTACTTTGGGAGGCTGAGGCAGGCAGATTCCTTGAGGCCAGAAGTTCAAGACCAGCCTGGGCAATACCCTGGTCTCTACAAAAAACAAACAAACAAACAAACAAAAAACAACAACAAAAAAACACACAAATTAGCTGGGCATGGTGGTGTGCACCTGCAGTCCCAGGTACTCAGGAGGCTGATCCAAGAAATTTGGGGCTGCAGTGAGCCATGGTCTCACCACTGCACTCCTGACTGGGCAGCAGAGGGAGACCCTGTCTCTCTCTCTCTCTCTCACACACACACACACACACACACACACACACACACACACACAAAGACCACTTGGTGTCAAATATGCTAAGTATGCCACTGATTCCTTGTCAACAGTTAAAAATTGGGAGATTTCAAATTTTTAAAATTCTAATTTGTTGATTCCTTCAAAAAAAGATCTGGCAATAGTGCCCTGAGTTCTCTAAAGGCAATAATCAGTTGGGGACCACTTATCATTATTATATCTGGCCTGAACCCCTTATTTACACCGACTGTGCCAACTGGCTTAGATTCAAGATTTCTATTACCCTGCTTTGCGTACCCAGGCTGTCACTGGGTCATCAGCTAGACCACTGGTCCCCAGCCGTTTTGGCACCAGGGACAGGTTTTGTGGGAGACAATTTTTCCATGCACAGGAGTATGGGAGGAGGGGATGGTTTTGGGATAAAACTGTTCCACCTCAGATCATCAGGTATTGTGGTTTTTTTGTTCTGTTTTGTTTTTTTGACAGGGTCTCGCTCTGTCACCCAGGCTGGAGTGCAGTGGTGCAATCTTGGCTCACTGCAACCTCGCCTCCTGGGTTCAAGCAATTCTTATGCCTCAGCCTCCCAAGTAGCTAGGATTACAGGCATGCGCCACCATGCGCAGCTAATTTTTGTATTTTTATTAGAGACTTTTTTTTTTTTTTAACCATATTGTCCAGGCTGGTCTTGAACTCCTGGCCTCAAGAGATCCACCCACCTTGGCTTCCCAAAGTGCTGGGATTACAGGCATCAGCCACTGCACCTGGCCTAGATTTTCATAAGGAGCCCACAACATCACGTGCATGCACAATTCACAATAGGGTTCGTGGCCCTATGAGAATCTAACACTGCACTGATCTGACAGGAGACAGAGCTCAGGCGGTAATGCCAGGATGGAGAGTGGCTGTATATACAGATGAAGCTTCCCTCGCTACTCCGCCGCTCACCCTTGCTCCTCCGCTGCTCACCTCCTGCTGTGCGGCCCAGTTCCTAACAGGCCATGGACCAATAGTGTTGGGGACCCTTGAACTACACTATGATAACTCCCCTTGGTGAGGGTTTCTCCCTGTCCTGCCCTTCCTCCTCCTTTCAGGAAAAACAAGAAGACACACCCATATTTCATTTATTTATTTATTTATTTATTTATTTATTTATTTATTTAGAGATGGAGTCTTGCTCTGACACTGAGGCTGGAGTGCAGTGGCGCGATCTCTGTTCACTGCAACCTCCGCCTCCCAGGTTGAAGCTATTCTTATGCCTCGGCCTCCTGAATAGCTGGGATTACAGGTGCTGGCCACCACACCTGGTTAATTTTTGTTTTTGTTTTGTTTTTCTGAGGCGGTGTCTCACTCGTTTGCCCAGGCTGGAGTGCAGTGGCACGATTTCGGCTTACTGCAACCTCCACCTCCCAGGTTCCCGTGATTCTCCTGTCTCAGCCTCCCAAATAGCTGGGACTGCAGGCGCCCGCCACCACACCCGGCTAATTTTTCTATTTTTAATAGAGACGAGATTTAGCCATGTTGGCCAGGCTGGTCTCAAACTCTTGACCTCAGGTGATCCTCCTGCCTCGGCCTCCCAAAGTGCTGGGATTAGAGGCATAAGCCACCGATCTTGGCTTCATTCATTTATTTAACACACATGATGTACTGATTGCCTGTTTGTATGCCAGGCTCTGGAGATAAAAATGTGATGAATGGAAATGGTTTCATGTCAGGGAGCTCTTGATCTAACTAGACAGATGACCCAGTGTATCCCAATTAAGAGACCATGGAAGGCTCTGTGGAACAGAAGGAATACCTGCCTGCCTGGTGAAGTCATGGAAGACAAGGATGGGGAAAGGCTGTTCGACAGAAGGTATAGAGACAGGCAAAAAACTGGTGAAATCACCACCCTGCCTCTTACCTGATTAGTAGCATACTTAACCTTGCTGAATTGCAGTTGCCTCATTCTTTGAAAGAGCTTAACTATATTACCCTTTTGGGTCATTTTAACCATTCATTAATTTCATTCAACAACGATTCATTGAGTGCCTGCTATCGCCAGGCGCCACGTGCTGTGCTAGGCTCTGGGAGTAAAATGGTAAAGAAAAAAGAGAGGTGGCTCCTGCCCTTGTGGAATTTAGGACCAGCCTAGCTCAAGGGTCTCCAACACCCGGCCACAGGCCAGCACCAGCCTGTGGCCTGTTAGGCTCCGGGCCACATAGCAGGATGTGGGCAGTGGGGCCAGCAATCATTACCGCCTGAGCTCCGCCTCCTGTCAGATGAGCACGGCATTAGATTCTCATAGGAGCGCGAACCATATTGTGAACTGTGCATGGGAGGGATCTAGGTTGCACGCTCCTCGTGAGAATCTAATGCTTGACGATCTGAAGTGGAACAGTTTCATCCGGAAACCATCCCTCCACCCCGCTTCGTCCATGGAAAAATTGTCTTCCACGAAACCGGTCCCTGATGCCAAAAAGGTTGGGGACTGCTTGTCTAGTGGTATTGAAGAAAGTGAAATAGCGGCACTAAAGAATAAATTAGAAGTTGAATTAAGGGTTCCGAATGATGGGAACACACTTGAGCTGAGAACTGAAGGTCGTGTAGAACCCAGTATGCAGAAAGGGAATGCAGCGGCATGTCAGGGAGAGTCAGTGTAATTTCAACTGTCTGGCTTACAGTAGTAGCTGCTCAAGTTAAAAAATCACTAGAGTCCGTCGGGGTGGCACGTGCCTGTAATGTCAACTACCCGGGAGGCTGAAGCGGGAGGATCCCAGGAGTTTAAGACCAGCCTGGGCAAGAGAGCGACCCGCCGTTCCAAAAAAAAAAAAATCACTAATAAGTAGGCACGGTTCTAACTTGAGTGATCCCATTTAATCATCATAGCTCTTGAAGTAAGTGCTTATCTTCATTCCTCAGAGTGGAAAGGAAGGCACGGAGAGAGAACTAAGTTTCACAAGGTCACCGCTCTTGAGTACAGGAGGCAGGATTCTAGCCCAAGCAGAGTCCATATGTTGTGTACCAGCTACACAGTGAATGGTGGCTACTATGGCGTTTGCCAAAGGGAGAGGGAGGTAGAAGAGGAGGCTGTTTCAGGAATGCTCCATATTTGGAGTAATGAGCACAAGGACTTCATAGCAAGGCCAAGAACAGCGTAAAGCTGCCCGCGCATGAAAAGCAGCCGCGTTGACCGGGCGCGGTGTCACGCCTGTAATCCCAGCACTTTGGGAGGGCGAGGTGGACTGATCGCTTGACACCAGGCGTTCGAGACCAGCCTGGGCAACAGGTGAAAATCCGTCTCTACAAAAAATACAAAAATTAGCCAGGCATGATGGCGTGCGCCTGCGGTCCCAACTACTTGGGAGCCTGAGGTGAGGCATCGCGTGAGCCCGGGGAGGTCGAGGCTGCAGTGAGCCGTGGTCTCGGGAACAAAAAACAGCCGCGCTGAGAATGAGCCCCGTGTGGTTGGTGCGCGGACACGCACTGCCTGCGTAACTAGAGGGAGCTGACGGATGACGCCCCCGCGCCACGCCGCTCAGCGGGATACGCTTCTTGGCGGACTTTGGAGTGGGAAGCGGGGAATGTCTACGTGCGTATGCACGTGGCACTCTCTGCCCGAGGTCCGGGGACTTTCCCCTAGGCGGAAAGGGGAGGAACAGAGTCCTCAGTGTGTAGCCTAGGATACAGGCCTTCAGCACGAACCACGTCCTCAGCTTCACAGAGTAGTATTTTATAGCCCTAAAGAAATTGTGTTTTATGATTAGGGTGAGAAAGTTGGTGGCGTGAGATTAAAAAAACCGTTTTCGGGCATAACTTTCTAAGACTATAGGCTTTCAGAGGCATTGTGGCTAGCAGAATAGCTAATAGACACGAAATGAACAAATACAGGAAAGCTAGAATGACACTATCTTATGCAAATATGGTCTGGCCCCGCCCTACGGGGAGTGGGCGTGGCCTCCCCGGAGCCGGCCGGCCTGCTCGCGTGCGCGTGCGCGTTGGGGCGGCCGGCCAATGCCGGACCGCTTCGGCACCGCCCGCCCGATCCCTCCACCCGTGGGCCGGCAATGGCGGGCGCAGTTTCGCTCTTGGGTGTGGTGGGGCTGCTGCTTGTGTCTGCGCTGTCCGGGGTCCTAGGAGACCGCGCCAATCCCGACCTCCGGGCACACCCAGGTACCAGCTAGGGCTGCTGGAGGAGGGCTGGGACTGCGCACGGGTCCCAGGCCCCAGCTCGGCTGACTCGCCTGTATCCTCCCTCCGCAGGGAACGCAGCCCACCCCGGCTCTGGAGCCACGGAACCCCGGCGGCGACCACCGCTCAAGGATCAACGCGAGCGGACCCGGGCCGGGTCGCTGCCTCTGGGGGCGCTGTACACCGCGGCCGTCGCGGCTTTTGTGCTGTACAAGTGTTTGCAGGTACGGGGCGGCCGGGGGTAGGGGTGCCCCTGCAGGTGCGGGACCGCCGGGCGTGGGGATCCCCTGAGCCCGAATCTCCCATGGGGGTGCCAGGGTACCAAGAACAAGACACAGCTTCCCTGTCTGTAAAATAAAGACAGTAGTCCGTTGGCCTTCCAATATTATGAGGTTATTTTGAGGATCCAGGGAGGTAACGGATGTGAAGAGCGTGTGGTGAACTGTAAATAATGACTATCACATTTAGTTCTCCTACAATCCAGTGAGGAGTAGTCACTTGCTCGAGGTCACCCAGCGCTGGCAACTGCTGGAGCTGGGATTTGAACCCAGCTAGCAGTGTCCATGCTACAAGAGTGGGGCCAGCCTTGGCACAGGAGGTTGATTGCTGCAGCCAGTGTTTCTAGAGTTCCAGATATGAAGTGGTCTCATGTTCTCCTTGGGAGGAGGCCCTGAAATGTAAGTTGACAGTACATTTTGAAAAACAGTACCTTCCAGGGCTGTGTCTTTAGCCGTGACCCTATTACGTACTTGCATTATAAAATAGAACCGATGGAACCAGTTTAGATATATGAAACTAGAAGAGATAGCTAATAATGACCCCAGGTAGATGTGACAGGCTAGGATGAATGACTGAATTTAATGATGAACTTTGAGAAGGATAGACTAGTAAATTCTGTTCTTGGACCTGAGTACAGTCTGGGAGAAACATAATGTAGCAGGAGGTCTTATGAAAGAGAGTTAGGCATTCCAGTTGACTGAGTTCACTGTGGGATGTGACAAGCCACTTCCCAAATCAGTGCTGGGAACATGGCACTGTGCTTCACCTGCCAATCAGAATGCCCCTGGAGAATTGTATTCTCCTCAGGGCATTGCTTTAAGAGCACTACGTGTTCAGGAAACAACCAGAGAAAACCACCGTCAATGAGCACTGACTGTAAAGACTGACGTTAATAAACCAGAAAAAACTCAGGAAAGTGGGTGAGGGTGTGACCATTGCCTTCAAATTCCTGAGGGGCTGTCACCTTGAGGAGACATTATTTTGGAAGGCTCCAGTAAGCACTATGGAAAGAAGATACATAAAGGACAAATTTTGGCTTTGTGCATGAACTGTCTAACAACCAAAGTTTTTGTTTTTTTCGAGATGGAGTCTCGCTCTGTCACCCAGGCTGGAGTGCAGCGGCGCAATCTCGGCTCACTGCAACCTCTGGCTCCCAGGTTCAAGCGATTCTCCTGCCTCAGCCTCTCAAGTAACTGGGATTACAGGCACCTGCCACCACGCCCGGCTAATTTTTGTATTTTTAATAGAGACAGGGTTTCACCGTGTTGGCCAGGCTGGTCTCAAACTCCTGACCTCAGGTGATCCACCCACCTTGGCTTCCCGAAGTGCTGGGATTACAGGTGTGAGCCACAGCACTCAGCCACCAGAGCTTTTTTCAAACCGGAGGGAGTTGCTCATTCCTGGAGGTGTTTCAGCAAACTGACCATGTGTGGGACATAGGACGTCGCTTCATATGCTGGGTGAGGAGCTAGATAGACTAGGATTGTGATTCTCTGAGGTAAAAACCCAATCACTGTCTCCATCTCAAATTGCACTCTCTCTTGGCTGGCTCTGGAGACTGAGGTGATGGAGCAGAACCTTGTTGCTTCAGTACTGCCCTTTCCTTCTTCCACAACAGGGGAAAGATGAAACTGCGGTTCTCCACGAGGAGGCAAGCAAGCAGCAGCCACTGCAGTCAGGTGGGTTTAGCAGAAGTCTGTGCTGGGTCGGGGGAGTTTAGGGGACAGCAGAAGATACATAACCACTTCTGCCCCCTTTTTTCCCTTATCCCCAGAGCAACAGCTGGCCCAGTTGACACAACAGCTGGCCCAGACAGAGCAGCACCTGAACAACCTGATGGCCCAGCTGGACCCCCTTTTTGAGCGGTGAGGAGAGCAATGATTCTGTGAATTTTTGGGGAATTTGTGGCAGGAGGGAGGAATGGGGACATAGGTTGGGAGCCACTGAGTGGACATTTCTTCAGTGTGACTACTCTGGCTGGAGCCCAGCAGGAGCTTCTGAACATGAAGCTATGGACCATCCACGAGCTGCTGCAAGATAGCAAGCCGGACAAGGATATGGAGGCTTCAGAACCAGGTGAAGGCTCGGGAGGCGAGTCTGCTGGAGGTGGAGACAAAGTCTCTGAAACTGGAACATTCCTGATCTCTCCCCACACAGAGGCCAGCAGACCTCTTCCTGAGGACTTCTGTTTAAAGGAGGACGAGGAGGAGATTGGTGACAGTCAGGCCTGGGAGGAGCCCACAAACTGGAGCACAGAGACATGGAACCTAGCTACTTCCTGGGAGGTGGGGCGGGGACTACGGAGAAGGTGCAGCCAGGCTGTGGCAAAGGGCCCCAGTCACAGCCTTGGCTGGGAAGGAGGGACGACAGCTGAAGGTCGACTAAAACAAAGTCTGTTTTCATGATGGAGTGCTCCTGTGTGTTTTTTCGATCCTAGTTGGTTGTACACACCCATACTAGGTGCCTAAGGACAACTGGGCCTTCTTGAAGAGCTGTCCTTATTAGGACAAAAAGAGGCTGCCTTCCAGTGTGACAGCAGAGAAGATAGAGGGAGCTCCAGCTCTTTTCCTCGTATTCCTGAGGCCACCAGCATGCCCGCGTTCAGGGCCCAAAAATCCCTTTTCTCATAGCAAAACTGAGACAGAAGGGTCTTTCCCAAAAAAAAGAAAAAAAACTTTACTCAAATCCAGTGGAAAAATAAATGATAGAAACTATACACAACATAAAAATAGCCACATTTACAAAGCTGCAGCCTTGATAAATGACGGGCCATGGACACAGCACAGAGCTTATCAGTCCCAAATCCCCTCATCTGTGTTAGGGGCTGGTTCATTTGAGGTTTAGTTGGGTTGGACTTGGTTTCCTGATTCTTCTTTTTTAATAAAATTTCTTAATTATTTTTTCTTAAATAGAGACAGGGTCTCACTCACTGTGTTGCCCAGGCTGGTCTTGAACTCCTGGGCTGGAATGATCCTGCCACCTCTGCTTCCCAAAGTGCTGGGATTACAGGCATGAGCCACTGTGCCTGGCCGTGATTTTTAAGAGTTGGTCAGATGATCTGGAGTAGCTTGGTCCAGGCAAACAGAAAGTGACCTTTGTCAAATCATGAAGGGTTCTGTTTTGTTCAGTACTGAAGATTCCTTTGTACTCTTGGCTGTGACCTATCCCTGAGGTATCCTGAGTTCTGGAATCTATAAGATTCCTCTAGTTTTTCTGGCTGCTGTGGAGAGAAGACAGTCAGTTCAGGCACTGGTATGAGTGCTTTATTCAGACAAAATCATCTGGGGGTTGGTGGCTGGGGTGTGCCAGACCAATGTAGGGCATGAGACAGGAACTGCATATTTCCTGCTTGTGGGCCTCATCACAGCACCCTTCCTGGGGGAAGACACAACTTACCTGATAGCCCAAGTCAGACTGTGGTACCAGCGTGACAGCTCCTCCTGGTCTGTGGACATAAGCAGTAGCTTCTCATGAGGGAAGGACAGCTAGAGAGAGACCACCTCTTAGCGCATGGCTCAGAAAGGTCCAGGCTAAAGCTGAAGCCCTTGCTGTTTCCATGGAGCTAATTCAGGGATGAGACAATGACTAGGTATGAAGCCCGAGCCCCAGCTATCCTCTCTCAATGTAGATGGCTCTGTTCCTATGAAAAGGGACCCAGACCAGGGAGATAAACCAGCCCATAAGCATCTGAGACATATTTTGGGTCTAGGGTTCCCACCTATTACTTACACTGAGCAACCCACCACAAGGGCCTCCTGAGTGGCCAAAGACCCTGCTGAGATGACACTGGGCCATGGGGTAGAGGGCCTTGCAGGCAAAGGTGCCACTCCGCAGCAGGTGCAGTGGAGGCCGAGGCTTGGCCATGAGGAGCACATCAGTGAAGAGGAAGAACATGCGGGGCCGAGGCTCCCCATGGGGAGGCACCACTAACAGCCAGCCCTGGCGTAGGAACCAGCGCCCTGGGGGATGGGAGCGCTGTTATTCTGGTGCAGCTTCAAGATACATGGGAATAAGAGGAAAGGGAGGCTGAGAAAATAGGGGTTATGTGCTGGGTCAGTACAGGAAGAAGGGTGAGTAAGAAAAGAGCAGCTGGTCGGCATTTGGAGTTAGATAAAAATAAAAGATGGGGCAGTTGAGGATTGAAGGGGAAGTAGGCAAGCTACCTGAGGTCAGCCCCTTTGCCTGGCGTCCACTGAGCAGAGCCTGGACACGCCGAAGGTGCTGGTCATTCTTCTGTTTCTGACCAATAGTATGGACTCTCTGGGCAGTCTCACTTATCAGTCGGGCAGCCCCTGGAATAACATCTCCCACCTTACTCCCCATACAACTTTGACTTTGGGTGCCATGGTTGTGAAAGAGGTTATTCTGGAAGGGACCAGGGTCAGGGTCTGACTTCTTGAAGAAAAGGCAGAGCAGTAGGGACACTGTATACATGTCAGTGGAAGATAGGGTCATACCAGACATTGTTGGAGGTCAGAATCAGAAAGGAATACAGGAGAGGAAGCCTCCAGCCTGCGTTGCCGAGGAGCAAGAACCTACGTGTGAGCTGTTGATGGTCAGGGCTGTTGGGACCTGTGTTTTCAGCCAAAGCTACGACGAGATTCTCATACCTGGAATTCAACAGTGGGAAGTCTGAGGGGAAGCAGAGCCAGGCAGAATTCCCCCTGCCTGATGTGCAGATCACCCTCTACCCATACTTCAATTGAAGGCCAGGAAAGATCTGCTTCTGGCTACTGTATCCCCTTCTTTCATGTAGGACTCAGAACCAGGCTCACACCACACAGCCCTCTTCCATCCCACACTGAAGAGTCACTGGCAGACTAGCCATACTTCAGGAGGCCAGATTGGAAGATGAAAGTTTATCAACCCAAGGAGGATGCTACAGACAGCCTGACTATAGCCCTTAACTCAGGCTTAACCCAGAGACAGAAATTCTAACCCAGGCCAGCCCCGCATCTGAAACTTTTCCAGAAACCGTGCCTCAGGCCCTAGTACAGGCCCCCTCACTTCAATTTAAAGTTCCACAGTTCCAGCTGAGGGCCTCAGGCTGCAGACCCTGGGTACTCCAATGGGTTCACATTTACTCTTGCAAAAGGTTTTTAGAAGCAATTTGGCTCAGGGTCGAGGCAAGAGTTTGGGATCGACCCCAAGGCATCCCACAAAGCTGAGGGCAGCAGTCATACAAACTAAAAGAGAGAGGCGGCTGGAATCAAGAGTTCACTCACTGCTGGAGCCGTTGCAGAGGCAGAGGGAGCAGGTCCTGGAGCTGAAGGCCCCCAAACTCAGGGCGGCCTTCCTGAAGCCGTACAAACCTCCGGAAACCTTTATTTTTCTTTAGCTGCTCCTGGAGTGAGGGAGAAAGGATTGGAAGCAGGGAGAGAAGCCACTCCTTATATTGCATTCATCTGTATCCACATTCCCAGCCTTCAGTAAGCTGTGCTCCTGAGAGAAACTCTCGTTTCTCTACAAGGAACTTACCACAGAGCTGAGCACCCAGAGGGCTCTATAAATGCAGGAAATGTATGAAGTTTGGGTCTCCAGATGAAGGGGAAAGGTAAGGGGCAAGATTTGAGGTCATCTCCAGGTTACCTGCAGGGTGGTCTGGGACCTCTCTGAGTTGGCAGCAAATTGGTTATAGAGCTCCAAGTGGCGGCAGAAGCCCTCCAGCCCTTGGCCCCAGCATCCTCCTTCCAGGTAGGGAAGCAGCTCCCTGTGTGGGCAAGGACAGCAAAAGGGCAGCTCTAGAACCACTCAAGCACCACCTCATTTAGTTTTCATGAGAATAGCACTAATAGTAGTGCTATTACCCCATTGTACAGATGGAGAACAAGGGCATGCTAAGGCCCTGGGCCAAGGCCACAGGTGAGCTAACTGGCGGACTCCAAATAGAACCTAAGTCTGACTCCAAGCTCTGTGCACGGCCACAGGCCAGGACTCTCCCTCCTTTCCTCTCCCTGTGCCCCTTCCACTCACTGGCTGGCGCCGTAGATGAGCTCCCAGGAGCCAAACAGGGCCTGGCGCTCAGGTGGTCGCAGGGTCCCCTTGGCTTTCAGGATCCCCAAAAAGTACTGCGGAAGGAGAGAACATTGGTTCTTAGCCTAGAGGAAGAGAAGGCTAACGCCAAGCGCCCCCAGAAACCGCAGAAGTCTGCCCAGGCTCCCTACATGCTCCGGGTTACCGACCTCGCAGAGACCCTCCCACACCCTGGGGTCCCTGTCCTATAATGGGAGCGTGTGCCAGGTCCCCCACCGTGGCCACCAGCCCCAGCTGTTCTTGGTAGCGCCGCTCGGTCTCTAGCAGCTCCCGGGCGGTGCAGGCGCGTTTCCGCTCCCAGCGGGCACGCTGCTCTTGCACCGGGCACCGCGAACCGGGGCAGGAGAGCTCCATGCCCTGGCTGAGGGATCGACACTTCCGGCTGCAGTCCGCGGCAGATTCAAATCCCAACCGCTCGCGGGCGGGAGCCGCGGAGGCGGGGCCGGGGAGGGCAGCGCGCAGGAAGGAGCATGCGCGGCGAGCGGCCGGACCGCGCAGGGTCTCTTCTGTCCAGCCCCACCGCCAGAGCGGCGCTTTAGGTGCGCGGCGCCGGCCAAGGCAGGGCAGGGCAGGGCAAGGTTGGGGGCAGGTGTGGAGCCCTCCTCTGAGTGGCACTATGTTGGAGCAGCAGCCTGAACTTTGAGTCAGGAGACGGGCTGCAGATGCTGGCAGGAACTTAATGTCCTATCTGGAGAATTGGGACGGGGGGCGGTCATTACAGTACACATTCTGTCCTGGGCCCATGCCAAATGCCAGGGGGTCAGTTGTTCCCAGAATTGGCTAGGAAAAGGTATAGCCATTTGAAGGAATGATATGAAAGTATTAAAAATGGTGTTGTAAAGAAGCTATCGATATGGGAAAACGCACATAGTAAGTATATTGCTGAGAGGAAAAAAAGCAGGCTACAAAGGTGTATAATATAATCCCCTTTGTATAAAACATATATAAAATGTTGGAAGGCAAAACAATCAAAAGTTAACTCTGTTGCCAGGCACGGGAGCTCACACCTGTAATTCCAGCACTTTGGGAGGCAGAGGCAGGAGGATCACCTGAGCCCAGGAGTTCGAGACTCCATCTCTCCAAAAAAAAAATAAATAAATAAAAAATAAAAATAAAAAGTTAACTGTGGTTTTTATCTCCGGGTAATGGAATTGAAGATAATGTGTTTAACAAATGTGTATTAAGTACCTAATCTGTATCTGTGCCAGGCACTGGATCACTGAAGCTAAAGGGATGAATGGGACAAACAGGGTGATTTTAAAAATTCTCTTATACTTCTGCCTTTCCCAAGTTTTCTACATTAAGCATGCATTACTTTGTAGTTAGAAAAAAAAAGTTATTAAAAAAAACAAAATGTCAGAAACTTTAGGCTCCCTCCCTACTGTTTTGGACTCCTAGGAATCTGGGCCGCAAGCCAAGAACCAGAGGATTGTCAGGGTTCTGAGGTCTCTACCACCTCCCCACCAGCTCTGACATTCTAAGAATTCTAAGAAAGGAATAATGCTGGGCTTAGACCAGGGAGGAATAACTTGAAGGGCTTGGATGAAGGAAGGGGAGAGTTTGGATCAGACTGTACCTTGGGCTTATGTCCCAAGGAAACTGGTGGTGATACCAGATAGGTAAAGGACTGGTTACACTGTCTCAAGTGAATGTGGGACAGTCCACACACTAAGAGCTCAAACATGGAAGAGGACAGATAATCCCATGGTAATTGGTGTCACTGTGAGCCCAGGTGATGAGAGTAGACCACAACACCTGGGGTGCAGTTGGTGATGGGTGTGTTTGTGAATGCTGCCAGTGTGTGTTAGTGCTTTGGGTGGGTGGAAGAGGGGTGGGGAATAGAGCCTCCTGTGAGCATCGGTTGGGGAATCATTCAACTCTAGAAGAGGAAGAGGGCAAAGCCGAGAAGACACACTGAAAACAGTTGGTGACAACTAATTCCCTGGGGACCGAGTCTCCCACAGAGCAAGTCAGGCACACCATACTCTACCTGGAACAGCTGCTAAACTCCGCTCCCACAGCCAAAGATAGGAGGGGCCAACAGGAGGAGGTTCAGAGGATAGTCAATAACCCCTTTATTCTTTAATTATCCTCAAATTTTGCTTTCAATCCGATGGATGCTGGAGAAGCACTAGGGATGCTTTGAACAACAATCATCAGTCATTCAACAAAATTAGGCTGGGCATGGTGGCTCACGCCTGTAATCCCAGCACTTTGGGAGGCTGAGGCAGGCGGATCACCTGAGGTCGGGAGTTACAGTTACAATGGCTGTGTGCTTCTTTATGTGTTGTCAGAGACCAGCCTGACCAATGTGGTGAAACCCCGTCTCTACTAAAAATACAAAATTAGCCGGGCATGGTGGCACGTGCCTGTAATCCCAGCTACTTGGGAGGCTGAGGCAGGAGAATCGCTTGAACCCAGGAGGCAGAGGTTGCAGTGAGCCGAGATCATGCCATCGCACTCCAGCCTGGGCAATAAGAGCGGAACTCTGTCTCAAAAAAAAAAAAAAATTAAATGCCAATCATGTGCCAGGTCCTGTGCTAGGCATGAAGATGAAATGGTGGGCAAGAGACATATGACCCCTGCCCACAGGGAGCTTACACTCCAGCATGGCAGATACAGTAAGGAGTCACCATAAAATGAGGAAACATTACAAGAGACATGTAGTCTTCTACACAAGCATGCAGTGAAGGGACTGATCCTAGTGTAGGAGTCAGGGAAGGCTTCTTCTCAAAGAAGTGATATGTGAACTGATGACCTGAAGGATGAATAAAACCTGGCTAGGCAGAGCTGGGCGCTGGCAGCAAGGGAAGTGGAAAAAAGAGTCAAACAGCATGGACAAAGGCTTGGACACACACATATGCAAGCATACGATGAATTTAAGGAACTGCTAGAAGTTCTGTAAGATGAGAGCATAGACTGCAAGGGAGAGAGTGATGACAAAGGAGACTGGAGAGGTAGACAGAGGCCAAACTTAGAAGGAATTTATATCAGTAAAATTGTGATATAAGTAATAATAAATTCAAAGTGGCTAAACATTAAGATAATTTATTGGCTCATGCAACTGAAAAGTCCAGAAGCAGGTGGGCCCTAGTGTTGGCCTAATCCAGCAGCTCAATCATGTTACCAAGGACCTCTTTCCACCACTCCACTGTGCCTTCCATGGTTTTACCTTCATCTTAAGGCTGGCTTCCATTGTGGGTACAAGATGGCTGCCCACAGTTACAATGGCTGTGTGCTTCTTTATGTGTTGTCCGCAGAGTTGGTTCCCTTAGCCATCAAATACTTCAGACAGAGAGCTTCACTGATTGGACCTCCCTAGGTCACAAGCCCACCATGGAAACCAGGGCAATGGCGGCCCTCTGAAGGCCACGTCAGGTACTGTGAACCTTATCCTAAGGGCAATGGGAAACCATTGAAAGGCCTTAAACAGGGAGTGAGATCATCAGATGTGCCATTTTAGAAACATCACTCTGGTTGGCTGGACTCAGCAAGACCCATCAGGAGGCAGTTGCAGTCATCCAGGTAAGAGGTGACGAAAGTATGAGCCAAGATGAAAAATGTAGATGAAAAATTTAGAAGGTAGAATCCATAGGGCATGGTTATTGAATGCTAGGGTGAAGGAAAAGATGAAAGTAGAGATGGTACCAGGTTTCTGGCTTCTAGGTGGAGGGTGGTGCTATTCACTGAAGGAGGATGAAAAGGAGATTTGCGGGGAAGACAAATTCAACCTGGGGCCTGTTAAACTTGAAATACTTGTGGGACATCCAAGTGGAGATGTCTTGGGTCTTGTCTATTAGGCAGATGGTTATGGGTCTGGCATGGGGAGAGAGTCCAGCCTGGGAATACTTGGGTGTCATCAATTTATAGGAGCCATGGGAGTGGATGACACGGCCTTGCAAAGATAAGTAGCAGGATAAGGGCAAAAGCATGAGAGTCTTCAATACGAACTCATCCCTTCTCATCCTGTGCGTCCACGTCAGTTCCCCTGCACTGATGGTGGACTAAATGGTGGCCCCATATAAAGACATGTCCATGTCCTAATCCCCAAGACCTGTATATGTGACCTTGTTGGGAAAAAGGGTCTTTGCAGACATAATTAGTTAAGGATCTTGAGATGAGATCATTCTGGATTATGTTGGTAGGCCCTAAATCCAATGACAAGTGTCTCAGTGAGAGACACCCAGTGGAGACACAGGGGCAAGAGAAGGCCATGTGAAGTTGGAGTAATGCAGCTACAAGTCAAGGAATGCCTGGAGCCGCCAGAAGCTAGAAGAGGCAAGGAAGGATTCTTCCCCAGAGCCTTCAGAGAGAGTCCAGTCCTGTCAAAACCTTGATTTCAGACTCTGGCCTCCAGAACTGTGAAAAAATCCATTTCTGTTGTTTTAAGCTACCCACTTGGTGGTAATTTGTTACAGCAGCCCTTGGAAATGAATATAGATGGGGAGGTAGCCAGAACTACAAGTCAGCCTCAAGGTTCTACAAGGAATTTGATCAGTCTTTGCCCCCAAGCTATGGCTTGGGAGAGGGAGCATTTTCCCTTCTACCCCACCAGTGAATAGTTTCCTCCTCTGCCATGCTGGGATAGGCAGAGACATGTTTTAGTAACATGACCCCTCAGTGTTTGAAAACACAAACCCTCATGAGCAAACACTTGGCCTATAATAACCACAGAGAGGTCCTGATCCAGGTGTGGGGTGCCCTGGTCAGTCAGTCCTGAGTATACTCTGTCCCAACCCGGGGAGACTCAGGAAACAATAACTCAAACCTGTTTGAGGGTTTGGCAGACTCCCAGCATGATCCAGGGTCAGAGTCCACATTCTCCACTCAGACCAGAGACGAGAGAGACAGAGAAACAGAGCCATAGGGAATCGCATTTGAAAAATGAGTGAGCTGTAACAGAGAGCTGGATTAGTCGTTACCACATTCTGTCTTGTATAGGCCCATCCAATTCAGATATTACCATGTACTTCCATATGTCAGGGGCCAAGCAAGTTCCAAGCTAATGACAGAGCTGACCAAGACAATCAGCTGGCCATCCAGAGTGTACCCTGGACCACACTGCCATGGAGAGCTCTGAATTTGGCTCCAGAAATGGCACCCTAGAATCTTAGGCTGACTACATCTGAGGTTGACCATTTGGAGGACAGCTGTTATTCAGTCATATATATTTTGTTGTACAATATGACAGTCATCCGACAACACAGATGATTTGGAGTGCCACAAAAATGTGGTGTTGGGCCAGGCATGGTGGCTCACGCCTATAATCCCAACTCTTTTGGAGGCTGAGGTTGGAGGATCACTTGAGGTCAGAGGATCACTTGAGGTCAAGAGTTCAAGACCAACCTGGGCAATATAGCGAAACCCCATCTCTACAAAACAAATAAAAAAATTAGCCAGGGGTGGTGGCTTGTGCCTGTGGTCCTAGCTACTCAGGAGGCTGAGGCAGGGGGATCACTTGAGCCTAGGAGATCAAGCCTGCAGTGAGCTATGACGCCACTGTACTCCAGTCTGGGTGACAGAGTAAGACCTTGTCTCAAAAATAATAATAATGTAAAAAGTTATGTCATGTTTATGGGATAGTTGTGGACATGCACAGGTCATTGACAATGAGCTCCTTGAGGGCAGAGAATATATCTTAGTCAATTTGGTATTTCTCAAGCATCTGGCAAGGTAATCTGCAAAAAGAAAATGCTCAATAATGGCTGTTGAATAAAAGACTGACTCAATCAAGTACGGACCCTGCCCTTATGGAGCTGAAGGCCGTTAGAGCAGATAAAATGAGTTATCACCCTTATATGAGTTAGACGGTGGACAAAGTTATTATTGAGGGCAGGCAAAGAACTGGGTTGGCTCAAAGATGCCAGGGATCTTTTCCAGACTAGTGGTAGAGGGTTGGTTAAGGAGTTTCCTGAAGGAGGTGGCCTTTCATCTGAGTTTCAAAGAACAGAAGAGATTAGACAGGGAGGACAGTAAAATTTTTTTTTTTTTTTGAAACAGTCTCGCTTTGTCGCCCAGGCTGGAGTGCAGTGGCGCGATCTTGGCTTACTACAAGCTTTGCCTCCTGGGTTCACGCCATTCTCCTGCCTCAGCCTCCTGAGTAGCTGGGACTACAGGCGGCCGCCACCACGCCCGGCTAATTTTTTTTTTTTTTTTTTTTCAGTAGAGACGGGGTTTCACTATGTTAGCGACGATTTTTGTCTGTTTGTTTGTTTTTGAGACAGAGTCTCACTCTGTCGATCAGGCTGGAGTGCAGTGGCGCGATCTCGGCTCACTGCAACCTCTGCCTCCCAGGTTCAAGTGATTCTCCTGCCTCAGCCTCCTGAGTAGCTGAGATTACAGGTGCCTGCCACCATGCCCAGCTAATTTTTGTATTTTTAGTAGAGACGGGGTTTCACCATGTTGGCCAGGCTGGTCTCGAACTCCTGACCTCAGGTGATCTGCACACCTCGGCCTCCCAAAGTGCTGGTATTAGAGGCATGAGCCACTGCACCTGGCCAGTAAAACTATTTGTGACACAGCAGCAAGTGCACAAGCACTGACCTATCAGAGTTGAAGGTGGCTGAGGCACTCAAGTGGGCTCCTGGGGACTCTGTTATGCCAGGGAATACCTCTTTAGATAAGGGATCAGGAGGTCTGGAGGGTCCCTAAGGAAGAGCTAGGGTAGCAGGGGTACCCTGGAGCTAGGGGCCATGGCTATATGCCAACAGGATTAGAAATATCTTAATGTATTTAATTAACCTACACAACCATATTGGTGGGTGCCTACTGAATATTAGCCCTAGATATGGACCTGAAATGGCCTTATTCTCTTTTAGTTTGTTTAAGCCAATGGAGCCTTACTAGAATGTGAGCTACAAAACAGTAGAGCTATTCTCTATTCAATGCTGCATCTGTAGGGCCTAGAACAGCACCTGAAGGACTGGCGGAGGCTTAATAAATTGTTAAAAGGGCAGACTAGCCAGGTGTGATGGCGTGTGCCTGTAGTCCCAGCTACTTGGGAGGCTGAGGCAGGAGGATCACTTGATCCCAGGATTTCTGGGCTGTAGTGTAGTATACCAGTCAGGTGTCTGCACTAAGTTCTGCATCAACCTGGTTGCCTAAGGATGGTTGAACTGACCCAGGTGGAAATTGGAGCAGGTCAAAACTCAATGCTGATCAGTAACAGGGTCGCACCTGTAAATAGCCACCGCCCTCCAGCCTGGGCAACACAGTGAGATCCCATCTCTAAAATAAATTTTAAAAATAATTAATTAGAAAAAAAAACCAGCCTGTAATCCCAGCACTTTGGGAGGCCAAGGCGGGCAGATCACCTGAGGTCAGGAGTTCAAGACAAGCCTGGCCAACATGGCAAAACCCCAATCTCTACCAAAAATACAAAAATTAGCTGGGCGTGGTGGCAGGTGCCTGTAGTCCCAGCTACCCAGGAGGCTGAGGCAAGAGAATCGCTTGAACCTGGGAGGTGGAGATTGCAGTGGGCCGAGATCGCGCCACTTCACTCCAGCCTGGGTAGCAGAGTGCGACTCTGTCTCAAAAAAAAAAAAAAAGAAAGAAAAGAAAAGAAAAAGAAAAGAAAAGAAAAAAACTGGGAGGCCTAAGCCCATTCTTGGTGTCCTCACACTCTTCTGCCCCATCTCCTTGCACCCAGTCTTCCCCTGCAATCTGTGCTCCATACTAGCCCTCAAGCCCTCAACGTGACCTAGTATGAGAACTGGATTCTGTCACTCTCCTGCTCATAATATTTTATGCCTTCCCTTTGCCCAGAATATCATTCTCCCTATTGTTTTTACCAATGGAACTGGTATTTCTTCAAGGACATGATCAAATTTGCCTACTTCTATATTATCTTCTAAAGCAGAATTCATCTCTCTTCCCTCAATATGATGATATTGACAGGGTTTGCCCTCACTCACTAGATTGTGAGCTGCTCAGGGCAGGTAGCGTTTTTTGTTTTTGTTTTTGTTTTTCTTTTTTGAGACAGGGTCTTGCTCTGTCACCCAGGCCAGAGTGCAATGGTACAGTCTCAGCTCACTGCAGCCTCAACCGCCTCGGCTCAAACCATCATCCCATTTCAGCCTCCTGAGTAGCTGGGACTACAGGCACATGCCATTACACCTGGCTAATTTTTTTGTATTTCTAGTAGAGACAGGGTTTGGCCATGTTGCCCGGGCTGGTCTCGAACTCCTGGACTCAAGCAATCCACCCACCTCAGCCTCCCAAAATGAGGGACCGTGTCTTATTCATTTCCATGTCCCTAGTCCATAGCCCAGTGCTGGACCTATGGTAGTACTAAATAAATATTTGTTGAATGCAATAGTAAATAGCATTTCAGGGAGCAAGAACTAGATTAACAAAGGTGGTAAAAGGTTTGGAGAAAAAAATAATAGTTTAATTTGGCTAGAGTATGAGGGAGAGTAGTAGGAGACAAGATGGAAAGGTCTCTTGGGCAAGGTTTTGAAGGAAGTTGGAAGTCAGAAGTACACAATGTGCATATCGTGGCAGGCAGTGGGGAGCCAATGAAGGCTTTTGAGCAGGAGAGTAATGTGTTGAAAAATAAATATAGGTTAAACCTATCAGAGCCCCTCTGACACATACACTTGCTTTTCATTCAAGCTCAAGTTTGTCTCCCACATACCCATTACTTAACTCACCCTCGGGCTCCCCTAGCAGCCTGCCCTACCTCTTTACCTGCTTCCTGGTGGAGTCAGGGATGTATACATGAGCTGCTTTCCCTCTCAGCCAGAGGACATGGGGGCCCCAGCTCCCCTGCCTTTCCCCTTCTGTGCCTGGAGCTGGGAAGCAGGCCAGGGTTAGCTGAGGCTGGCTGGCAAGCAGCTGGGTGGTGCCAGGGAGAGCCTGCATAGTGCCAGGTGGTGCCTTGGGTTCCAAGCTGAGTCCATGGCCCCGATAACCTTCTGCCTGTGCACACACCTGCCCCTCACTCCACCCCCATCCTAGCTTTGGTATGGGGGAGAGGGCACAGGGCCAGACAAACCTGTGAGACTTTGGCTCCATCTCTGCAAAAGGGCGCTCTGTGAGTCAGCCTGCTCCCCTCCAGGCTTGCTCCTCCCCCACCCAGCTCTCGTTTCCAATGCACGTACAGCCCGTACACACCGTGTGCTGGGACACCCCACAGTCAGCCGCATGGCTCCCCTGTGCCCCAGCCCCTGGCTCCCTCTGTTGATCCCGGCCCCTGCTCCAGGCCTCACTGTGCAACTGCTGCTGTCACTGCTGCTTCTGGTGCCTGTCCATCCCCAGAGGTTGCCCCGGATGCAGGAGGATTCCCCCTTGGGAGGAGGCTCTTCTGGGGAAGATGACCCACTGGGCGAGGAGGATCTGCCCAGTGAAGAGGATTCACCCAGAGAGGAGGATCCACCCGGAGAGGAGGATCTACCTGGAGAGGAGGATCTACCTGGAGAGGAGGATCTACCTGAAGTTAAGCCTAAATCAGAAGAAGAGGGCTCCCTGAAGTTAGAGGATCTACCTACTGTTGAGGCTCCTGGAGATCCTCAAGAACCCCAGAATAATGCCCACAGGGACAAAGAAGGTAAGTGGTCATCAATCTCCAAATCCAGGTTCCAGGAGGTTCATGACTCCCCTCCCATACCCCAGCCTAGGCTCTGTTCACTCAGGGAAGGAGGGGAGACTGTACTCCCCACAGAAGCCCTTCCAGAGGTCCCATACCAATATCCCCATCCCCACTCTCGGAGGTAGAAAGGGACAGATGTGGAGAGAAAATAAAAAGGGTGCAAAAGGAGAGAGGTGAGCTGGATGAGATGGGAGAGAAGGGGGAGGCTGGAGAAGAGAAAGGGATGAGAACTGCAGATGAGAGAAAAAATGTGCAGACAGAGGAAAAAAATAGGTGGAGAAGGAGAGTCAGAGAGTTTGAGGGGAAGAGAAAAGGAAAGCTTGGGAGGTGAAGTGGGTACCAGAGACAAGCAAGAAGAGCTGGTAGAAGTCATCTCATCTTAGGCTACAATGAGGAAATTGAGACCTAGGAAGAAGGGACACAGCAGGTAGAGAAACGTGGCTTCTTGACTCCCAAGCCAGGAATTTGGGGAAAGGGGTTGGAGACCATACAAGGCAGAGGGATGAGTGGGGAGAAGAAAGAAGGGAGAAAGGAAAGATGGTGTACTCACTCATTTGGGACTCAGGACTGAAGTGCCCACTCACTTTTTTTTTTTTTTTTTTTGAGACAAACTTTCACTTTTGTTGCCCAGGCTGGAGTGCAATGGCGCGATCTCGGCTCACTGCAACCTCCACCTCCCGGGTTCAAGTGATTCTCCTGCCTCAGCCTCTAGCCAAGTAGCTGCGATTACAGGCATGCGCCACCACGCCCGGCTAATTTTTGTATTTTTAGTAGAGACGGGGTTTCGCCATGTTGGTCAGGCTGGTCTCGAACTCCTGATCTCAGGTGATCCAACCACCCTGGCCTCCCAAAGTGCTGGGATTATAGGCGTGAGCCACAGCGCCTGGCCTGAAGCAGCCACTCACTTTTACAGACCCTAAGACAATGATTGCAAGCTGGTAGGATTGCTGTTTGGCCCACCCAGCTGCGGTGTTGAGTTTGGGTGCGGTCTCCTGTGCTTTGCACCTGGCCCGCTTAAGGCATTTGTTACCCGTAATGCTCCTGTAAGGCATCTGCGTTTGTGACATCGTTTTGGTCGCCAGGAAGGGATTGGGGCTCTAAGCTTGAGCGGTTCATCCTTTTCATTTATACAGGGGATGACCAGAGTCATTGGCGCTATGGAGGTGAGACACCCACCCGCTGCACAGACCCAATCTGGGAACCCAGCTCTGTGGATCTCCCCTACAGCCGTCCCTGAACACTGGTCCCGGGCGTCCCACCCGCCGCCCACCGTCCCACCCCCTCACCTTTTCTACCCGGGTTCCCTAAGTTCCTGACCTAGGCGTCAGACTTCCTCACTATACTCTCCCACCCCAGGCGACCCGCCCTGGCCCCGGGTGTCCCCAGCCTGCGCGGGCCGCTTCCAGTCCCCGGTGGATATCCGCCCCCAGCTCGCCGCCTTCTGCCCGGCCCTGCGCCCCCTGGAACTCCTGGGCTTCCAGCTCCCGCCGCTCCCAGAACTGCGCCTGCGCAACAATGGCCACAGTGGTGAGGGGGTCTCCCCGCCGAGACTTGGGGATGGGGCGGGGCGCAGGGAAGGGAACCGTCGCGGCAGTGCCTGCCCGGGGGTTGGGCTGGCCCTACCGGGCGGGGCCGGCTCACTTGCCTCTCCCTACGCAGTGCAACTGACCCTGCCTCCTGGGCTAGAGATGGCTCTGGGTCCCGGGCGGGAGTACCGGGCTCTGCAGCTGCATCTGCACTGGGGGGCTGCAGGTCGTCCGGGCTCGGAGCACACTGTGGAAGGCCACCGTTTCCCTGCCGAGGTGAGCGCGGAGCTGGCCGAGAAGGGGCAAAGGAGCGGGGCGGAGCGGGGCCAGAGACGTGGCCCTCTCCTACCCTCGTGTCCTTTTCAGATCCACGTGGTTCACCTCAGCACCGCCTTTGCCAGAGTTGACGAGGCCTTGGGGCGCCCGGGAGGCCTGGCCGTGTTGGCCGCCTTTCTGGAGGTACCAGATCCTGGACACCCCCTACTCCCCGCTTTCCCATCCCATGCTCCTCCCGGACTCTATCGTGGAGCCAGAGACCCCATCCCAGCAAGCTCACTCAGGCCCCTGGCTGACAAACTCATTCACGCACTGTTTGTTCATTTAACACCCACTGTGAACCAGGCACCAGCCCCCAACAAGGATTCTGAAGCTGTAGGTCCTTGCCTCTAAGGAGCCCACAGCCAGTGGGGGAGGCTGACATGACAGACACATAGGAAGGACATAGTAAAGATGGTGGTCACAGAGGAGGTGACACTTAAAGCCTTCACTGGTAGAAAAGAAAAGGAGGTGTTCATTGCAGAGGAAACAGAATGTGCAAAGACTCAGAATATGGCCTATTTAGGGAATGGCTACATACACCATGATTAGAGGAGGCCAGTAAAGGGAAGGGATGGTGAGATGCCTGCTAGGTTCACTCACTCACTTTTATTTATTTATTTATTTTTTTGACAGTCTCTCTGTCGCCCAGGCTGGAGTGCAGTGGTGTGATCTTGGGTCACTGCAACTTCCGCCTCCCGGGTTCAAGGGATTCTCCTGCCTCAGCTTCCTGAGTAGCTGGGGTTACAGGTGTGTGCCACCATGCCCAGCTAATTTTTTTTTGTATTTTTAGTAGACAGGGTTTCACCATGTTGGTCAGGCTGGTCTCAAACTCCTGGCCTCAAGTGATCCGCCTGACTCAGCCTACCAAAGTGCTGATTACAAGTGTGAGCCACCGTGCCCAGCCACACTCACTGATTCTTTAATGCCAGCCACACAGCACAAAGTTCAGAGAAATGCCTCCATCATAGCATGTCAATATGTTCATACTCTTAGGTTCATAATGTTCTTAACATTAGGTTCATAAGCAAAATAAGAAAAAAGAATAATAAATAAAAGAAGTGGCATGTCAGGACCTCACCTGAAAAGCCAAACACAGAATCATGAAGGTGAATGCAGAGGTGACACCAACACAAAGGTGTATATATGGTTTCCTGTGGGGAGTATGTACGGAGGCAGCAGTGAGTGAGACTGCAAACGTCAGAAGGGCACGGGTCACTGAGAGCCTAGTATCCTAAGTAAAGTGGGCTCTCTCCCTCTCTCTCCAGCTTGTCATTGAAAACCAGTCCACCAAGCTTGTTGGTTCGCACAGCAAGAGTACATAGAGTTTGAAATAATACATAGGATTTTAAGAGGGAGACACTGTCTCTAAAAAAAAAAACAACAGCAACAACAAAAAGCAACAACCATTACAATTTTATGTTCCCTCAGCATTCTCAGAGCTGAGGAATGGGAGAGGTCTATGGGAACCCCCCTTCATGTTCCGGCCTTCAGCCATGGCCCTGGATACATGCACTCATCTGTCTTACAATGTCATCCCCCAGGAGGGCCCGGAAGAAAACAGTGCCTATGAGCAGTTGCTGTCTCGCTTGGAAGAAATCGCTGAGGAAGGTCAGTTTGTTGGTCTGGCCACTAATCTCTGTGGCCTAGTTCATAAAGAATCACCCTTTGGAGCTTCAGGTCTGAGGCTGGAGATGGGCTCCCTCCAGTGCAGGAGGGATTGAAGCATGAGCCAGCGCTCATCTTGATAATAACCATGAAGCTGACAGACACAGTTACCCGCAAACGGCTGCCTACAGATTGAAAACCAAGCAAAAACCGCCGGGCACGGTGGCTCACGCCTGTAATCCCAGCACTTTGGGAGGCCAAGGCAGGTGGATCACGAGGTCAAGAGATCAAGACCATCCTGGCCAACATGGTGAAACCCCATCTCTACTAAAAATACGAAAAAATAGCCAGGCGTGGTGGCGGGTGCCTGTAATCCCAGCTACTCGGGAGGCTGAGGCAGGAGAATGGCATGAACCCGGGAGGCAGAAGTTGCAGTGAGCCGAGATCGTGCCACTGCACTCCAGCCTGGGCAACAGAGCGAGACTCTTGTCTCAAAAAAAAAAAAAAAAAAGAAAACCAAGCAAAAACCAAAATGAGACAAAAAAAACAAGACCAAAAAATGGTGTTTGGAATTGTCAAGGTCAAGTCTGGAGAGCTAAACTTTTTCTGAGAACTGTTTATCTTTAATAAGCATCAAATATTTTAACTTTGTAAATACTTTTGTTGGAAATCGTTCTCTTCTTAGTCACTCTTGGGTCATTTTAAATCTCACTTACTCTACTAGACCTTTTAGGTTTCTGCTAGACTAGGTAGAACTCTGCCTTTGCATTTCTTGTGTCTGTTTTGTATAGTTATCAATATTCATATTTATTTACAAGTTATTCAGATCATTTTTTCTTTTCTTTTCTTTTTTTTTTTTTTTACATCTTTAGTAGAGACAGGGTTTCACCATATTGGCCAGGCTGCTCTCAAACTCCTGACCTTGTGATCCACCAGCCTCGGCCTCCCAAAGTGCTGGGATTCATTTTTTCTTTTTAATTTGCTCTGGGCTTAAACTTGTGGCCCAGCACTTTATGATGGTACACAGAGTTAAGAGTGTAGACTCAGACGGTCTTTCTTCTTTCCTTCTCTTCCTTCCTCCCTTCCCTCCCACCTTCCCTTCTCTCCTTCCTTTCTTTCTTCCTCTCTTGCTTCCTCAGGCCTCTTCCAGTTGCTCCAAAGCCCTGTACTTTTTTTTGAGTTACGTCTTATGGGAAGGGCCTGCACTTAGCGAAGAAGTGGTCTCAGAGTTGAGTTACCTTGGCTTCTGGGAGGTGAAACTGTATCCCTATACCCTGAAGCTTTAAGGGGGTGCAATGTAGATGAGACCCCAACATAGATCCTCTTCACAGGCTCAGAGACTCAGGTCCCAGGACTGGACATATCTGCACTCCTGCCCTCTGACTTCAGCCGCTACTTCCAATATGAGGGGTCTCTGACTACACCGCCCTGTGCCCAGGGTGTCATCTGGACTGTGTTTAACCAGACAGTGATGCTGAGTGCTAAGCAGGTGGGCCTGGGGTGTGTGTGGACACAGTGGGTGCGGGGGAAAGAGGATGTAAGATGAGATGAGAAACAGGAGAAGAAAGAAATCAAGGCTGGGCTCTGTGGCTTACGCCTATAATCCCACCACGTTGGGAGGCTGAGGTGGGAGAATGGTTTGAGCCCAGGAGTTCAAGACAAGGCGGGGCAACATAGTGTGACCCCATCTCTACCAAAAAAACCCCAACAAAACCAAAAATAGCCGGGCATGGTGGTATGCGCCTAGTCCCAGCTACTCAAGGAGGCTGAGGTGGGAAGATCGCTTGATTCCAGGAGTTTGAGACTGCAGTGAGCTATGATCCCACCACTGCCTACCATCTTTAGGATACATTTATTTATTTATAAAAGAAATCAAGAGGCTGGATGGGGAATACAGGAGCTGGAGGGTGGAGCCCTGAGGTGCTGGTTGTGAGCTGGCCTGGGACCCTTGTTTCCTGTCATGCCATGAACCCACCCACACTGTCCACTGACCTCCCTAGCTCCACACCCTCTCTGACACCCTGTGGGGACCTGGTGACTCTCGGCTACAGCTGAACTTCCGAGCGACGCAGCCTTTGAATGGGCGAGTGATTGAGGCCTCCTTCCCTGCTGGAGTGGACAGCAGTCCTCGGGCTGCTGAGCCAGGTACAGCTTTGTCTGGTTTCCCCCCAGCCAGTAGTCCCTTATCCTCCCATGTGTGTGCCAGTGTCTGTCATTGGTGGTCACAGCCCGCCTCTCACATCTCCTTTTTCTCTCCAGTCCAGCTGAATTCCTGCCTGGCTGCTGGTGAGTCTGCCCCTCCTCTTGGTCCTGATGCCAGGAGACTCCTCAGCACCATTCAGCCCCAGGGCTGCTCAGGACCGCCTCTGCTCCCTCTCCTTTTCTGCAGAACAGACCCCAACCCCAATATTAGAGAGGCAGATCATGGTGGGGATTCCCCCATTGTCCCCAGAGGCTAATTGATTAGAATGAAGCTTGAGAAATCTCCCAGCATCCCTCTCGCAAAACAATCCCCCCCCTTTTTTTAAAGATAGGGTCTCACTCTGTTGCCCAGGCTGGGGTGTTGTGGCACGATCATAGCTCACTGCAGCCTCGAACTCCTAGGCTCAGGCAATCCTTTCACCTTAGCTTCTCAAAGCACTGGGACTGTAGGCATGAGCCACTGTGCCTGGCCCCAAACGGCCCTTTTACTTGGCTTTTAGGAAGCAAAAACGGTGCTTATCTTACCCCTTCTCGTGTATCCACCCTCATCCCTTGGCTGGCCTCTTCTGGAGACTGAGGCACTAGGGGCTGCCTGAGAACTCGGGGCAGGGGTGGTGGAGTGCACTGAGGCAGGTGTTGAGGAACTCTGCAGACCCCTCTTCCTTCCCAAAGCAGCCCTCTCTGCTCTCCATCGCAGGTGACATCCTAGCCCTGGTTTTTGGCCTCCTTTTTGCTGTCACCAGCGTCGCGTTCCTTGTGCAGATGAGAAGGCAGCACAGGTATTACACTGACCCTTTCTTCAGGCACAAGCTTCCCCCACCCTTGTGGAGTCACTTCATGCAAAGCGCATGCAAATGAGCTGCTCCTGGGCCAGTTTTCTGATTAGCCTTTCCTGTTGTGTACACACAGAAGGGGAACCAAAGGGGGTGTGAGCTACCGCCCAGCAGAGGTAGCCGAGACTGGAGCCTAGAGGCTGGATCTTGGAGAATGTGAGAAGCCAGCCAGAGGCATCTGAGGGGGAGCCGGTAACTGTCCTGTCCTGCTCATTATGCCACTTCCTTTTAACTGCCAAGAAATTTTTTAAAATAAATATTTATAATAAAATATGTGTTAGTCACCTTTGTTCCCCAAATCAGAAGGATGGTATTTGAATTTCCTATTACTGTTATTAGCACGAATTTAGTGGTAATGCATTTATTCTATTACAGTTCGGAGGTCAGCAGTCAGATGTCAGTAGGGCTTGTTCCTCCTTCCACACATCACTCCAATCTCTTGCTCCCATTGTCACAACTCCTACCTCCACATTTGACCTCCTTGTCTCCTCAAGAACCCTTGGGATTACACTGGGCCTAACTAGATAACCAAGGATAATCATCCCATCTCAAAATCTTAATCACCAAGTTTCTTCCCATGTAAGATAAGAACAATGCACAGGATTAGAACATGGACATCTTTGGAGAAGGGGAATTATTCTGCCTACCACAGATGCTATCAGGAAGAGGACAGAAATGACTGATACTGTTGGGATGGCTGTGTGTGTGTGTGTGTTTGTGTGTGTGTGCAGTGTATGTGTTGAGGGGTAGGGCAGACAGCAGCCCTAGGCTTAACATCACACTCAGGCTTTTGGGTTTTCACCCTGCTCAAGGAAAATGTGTCACTTCTTGCAGTTTTTGCTTCAGGACGTGCTGTCTGGCCCAGCTGGCTGCTGGAACAGGGCGGTGCTATGGATGGCAGCTCCTCTGCCTGTAGGGCACAAGGCCCACGATGTCCCCCAGTCCTGTCAGACTCCCTGCTTCACAGAGCCTGTTCACAGCCCCTCCTCAATGAGCCCAGGCCCTCCATCCCAGTTTCCCCTGAAAAGGAAGTCCCAATGCAGAGCAAGGACCCAGGCCCTGCTCATTCAGGGGTCCCTCAAACTCCATTGCCAACACCAAAGAAAGGATTAAAGGGCCTTGAGAGGCTAGTAACATCAGTTTTATTGGGTTGGGGTGGCAACCATAGCCTGGCTGGGGGTGGGGCTGGCCCTCACAGGTTGTTGAGTTCCAGCAGGGTCTGGTCCAAGGTCTGGTGAATCTCGACGTTCTCCTCCTTGGCACTGGCCAAGGTCTCTGTGAGGGGAAGCAGCAGGTGAGGGAGAAGGGAGACACAAGGGGGAGACGTGGGGAGGCAGGGCCAGGGGAAGGTGACATATAGACATGGAGTGGGTCAAGGAAGACACATGCATTCACGGACCTCAGGGCCCCTTGGCAGGGACAAACAGATGGACTGACTAGGATGAGGGGAACAGGACGGACGTGGATGCCTCACTCAAGGCCTTGGGGTCATAGAGGTGGGGTGGGGAGGGCTGAGTCATAAACTACTTTATCCTCTTCTTTAGAAGGTTTAAGGAAGTTGGAGACAGAAGGTAAGACAAAGACTGCGCCAGGAAAGGAAGGGCCAGACAGACAGACTTGAGGTAGAAAACAGACCTGCTGCTGCAGTGAAAGCCCCATGTTGCTGATATCCAACATTTTTCCAAGCTCCATTCCAGACCTTTTGCAACCTTCTTGCCCCTGTCCTGCACCTCACCACCCTACTTCCTTTCCAGTCACTCTGTTTGATCCTGGAACCCCAGCTAAGTGCTCTGAGGTCAGGGATTGGCACCAGAGGCGGTCATGGTTTGATGGGGCCACACGTGCCCACATGCAGTGGTGAATCAGAGAGCGACAGCCAGGGAGTGCCTGTGCAGAGGGGTTTCAGCGTGGGCCATGGTGTTTTGTGGGTGGGCTCAGTGCAGGGGCTGGGGGTGTCAGTAAGTGCCAGGGTGTCAGGAGTGAACCAGTGCTCCGTGGTGGCGATAGAGGTGCTCTCTGGAGGGCAGGAAAACAGCATGGAGACCAAGTTCAGAATTTATTAAGCAGCAAAGGAGGGTGGAAGGGGATAGGTAAAGGATGAAGCCAGTGCCAGAGTGGGTGGTGGGCATGATGGGGGCTCTCCCTAGGCTGCTCCCAGCCTGGCTGTGCAATGTTGGCAATTTCTGCTCCTCCTGCCTGCTCCCCTCCCCATAGAGAGAATGGAAAGGAGAGGAGAGAAGAGAGCTGAGGTGGCCACGCTGGCGTGGGGCTCAGAGGGAGGTGATGTCATTGAGTGCGTTGTCCAGTTCCTCGCTAATGGCCTTGTACTTCATCTTCTGGGCATAGACTTCATCTGGGGGGGGTCCAGGGAGGGGACCAGGTGGGAGTGTGGGAAAGGGAGTGGAGGGAAAGAGGAAAGGAAGGAGAGAGAGCAATGGAAAGAAAAACAGAATCAGAGGTACACAAAGACAGAGTGAGAGAGGGAGGCCAGGGAACAGGCTGGACAGCTGTCAGGAACTCCTTCTCCCCATCTCTACCCCATCTCTTTTCTGTCCTTCTCTGTACCCCAAATTGGCTCTACCCATGGCAGCTCCTGCCTCTCCAGGGAGCTGTGTGTACAATGCTCTCGACAAGCAGGAGTGCTTGCTTAGAGGGGAGAGGGAGGGTGCTGGAGCCAGAAAGGGCAAACCTCCTAAAGCTGGAGGTAAAATTGGAGCTTGCCTGAGAAGGCTGGAAGCGAGAGAAGTGGGAAAGTGAAAGGGTTATCACAGAATAAAAAGGAAAGGCAACTTTAGCCACATCATCATTAACAATAGAAATAGCCACAGACTCACAAATATCTGGATGTTTGCTTTTGTCAAATCTAGCTTAAAATAGTGTTTTCTATTAGTGCTGTCATGCAGACCTAGATGTTCAGTCCAACAGCTCTCTAGTTAATAAGCCAGTCTCTGCACTAGAACTCTACTGCGTTACACTCGGGGACGGAATTGTCTATAAGGGTGCCACTCAGAGTGTGGCATGAGGACCAGCAGCATTGGCAGTACCAGAGAACTAGCTAGAAATGTAAATCCTCCAGCCCAAAGTCAGCAATCTCTTTGGGGCAGAGTCAAGGAATCTGTTTTTAAAACTCTCCCAGTGATTCTCATGCATGCTGAAGTTTGAGAAGCACTGGAGTTGTTGCGCCGTGGGCAGCTACAATTACTTGAATTGTAGACATGGCCCACAGAGTTGGGGAGTTGGTAGGGTCCTAGGTGGCCCAACCCTAGTTTATTGGTGGCAAATAAAATGGGATGAGAAGGTACAGGACAGACTGATAATCACGGCAGGTGTGGACCTACTTATAAAGGCTTCTTTTACCTTCTAGGTCATCGATGGTTTTCTCCAACTTTGCCACAGACCTCTCGGCAAACTCTGCTCGGGTCTCAGCCTGGGGGTAAAGGCAGGATGGGAGAAATGGCAAAGAATTAGGCCCTCCCACAGACTACTGCCTAAGTCAAGCTTCTTGTCCATCCCAACCCTCAAGTGTCCTGCCACAGGCCGTCTCTGGCAAGGATTAGGGTGGCTTGAGGGGAGACTGGGAACTGGAAGAGGACTCTCACCTCCTTCAGCTTCTCCTCCAACAGTTTGATCTCCTCTTCATATTTATCTTCTTTGGTGGAATACTTTTGGGGACACACACACGCCATCAGTACAGCGCTACCACAGATCCTTCATTTCTCCATTGTACCCCGTAGGCTCCTGGTCATCTTGCCTCCGTTGAACACCCAGCCCCTCCCTGCCTTGGGCCCCTCACCTCCCTCCCCTGTGGGACCCCATCCTCACTGCCCCTCTGCTCCCCTCTACCTTGTCCGCCTGGGCCTCCAGGGATTTCAAGTTGTTGGTAACAATTTTCAGCTCCTCCTCTAGGTCCCCACATTTACTGCAGGGGGTGTGTGGCGGGGGGGGCAGGGTGTGAGGGCACAGCGAAGCCAGACAGTGGAGATGGCACAGCAGGGGACGGGTGGAGGAGAGAAGAGAAGAGCAAAGTTGTGAGAGTGACAGCAGGCAGGGCTCAGAAGCCCCAGGCCCTTCCTGATCCCCAGCAGCTGAGAAAGAGCAGCCTGCGGTGCTGAGACGGAGGGAAGGTGAGCTGAGAGAAGGCGCCATTGCCCAGAAAGGTTCAGAGGGGTCACTACCTCCTCCTCTGAGGCCATCAGGGACTTGAGGGCCTGGTCCATGGTTCGAAGTTCCTCCTCCAGCTGTCTGGCTCGGCTGGGGGCAGCGGGCAGGGGTCAGAGAACAGGGCCTGTCCCTACAGCCCCAAGCCTAGGATGCTACCTTCCCACTGTGTGGAAGGCCCCAGGGCCAATGGGCTCACTTGTCACCCCCGGGTATCTTTACCTCTCGGCCACCTCAGCCCTCTCCTCCGAGCGCTCCAGCTCTCCTTCCAGGATCACCAGCTTCCTGGCCACCTGTGGGGAGTGAGAAAGAGAGGGTAGATCAGTGGAGAAGGACTGGGCATGTTGCAGGCTGGGCAGCGAGCAGGCAGAGGGGCAAGGCTGTCACCTCTTCATATTTGCGGTCTGAATCCTCAGCGATGTGCTTGGCCTCCTTCAGCTGCATCTCCTGCAGTTCCATCTTCTCCTCATCCTTCATGGCCCGGTTTTCGATGACCTTCATTCCTCTGAAAGGCAGGGAGAGGGTGAGCGTAGGGTCAGGACCAGCAGAGACAGGCTCCCTTCTCCCTCCCGGACCATCCTCCCCGAGGCCCCTGACCACCTCTCGCTCTCATCAGCCGCCTTCTCGGCCTCCTCCAGCTTCTGCAGGGCTGTAGCCAGGCGCTCCTGGGCCCGGTCCAGCTCCTCCTCAACCAGCTGAATGCGGCGGTTCAGGGAGGCCACATCTGCCTCAGCCTGTGGGTCAGAGGTCAGGGGTCAAAAAGGCCTTGTTAGCCTTGGATAAGGATCAGAGAGGCTCCAGAGGATGGCGAGATTCTTCTCAGAAAGAACTGAGGCTTCCTGGTTTCTAGACATTCTATGTGATTTTTCCCCAACCAATCATCTTCTGCCCAGACTGTGCTCCAGTAAAAAATGTGCATTCAGGCCGGGCATGGTGGCTCACGCCTGTAATCCCCGCACTCTGGGAGGCCGAGGCGGGTGGATCACCTGAGGTGAGGAGTTTGAGAGCAGCCTGGCCAACATGGTGAAACTCTGTCTCTATTAAAAATAAAAAATTAGCCAGGCATGGTGGCGCATGCCTGTAATCCCAGCTACTTGGGAGGCTGAGGCACAAGAATCACTTGAACCCAGGAGGCGGAGGTTGCAGTGAGCTGAGGTCGTGCCACTGCACTCCAGCCTGGGTAAAAAGAACGAAACTCCATCTCAAAAAAACAAAAAAATACATGCATTCCTTGCTTGACAAGCTCCGCTCCCCTGCTGCAGGGCCTCTCCTGCACTGTGCACAGTTAGTCTCCCAAAGGTCACCTGCACACAAGTCCTCCTGTTCCCTGTGGGAGCACTTCAAGTGCTGGGGCCAGGTCTGATGCAGCTCTGATTCCTACACAGCAAAGCCTGGCCCAGGTAAGGGGATGGGAGGAGAATCAGGCCAACCAGACATCACTGCTGCTAAGAATAGCCCGTCACAGAATCAAGCTCAGTGATACTGGGCATGGTGGTGCATGCCTGTCATCCCAGCTACTCCGAAGGCTAAGGCGGGAGTTCAGCTTGACCCCAGGAGCCCTGCCTGGGAAACATAGCAAGATCCCATCTCAAAAAAAAAAAAAAAAAAAAGTATCAAGTTCAGTGATGTCATCTGTCATCAGCTGTAAGGCAGACTCCCAGCAAGAAGCCCAAGAGGCAGGCCTATAAGGAATACCCATGGCTGTAGCAAGGGGCTCCCTGCCAAGGCCAGCAGAGAGCTGGGGGCAATGCAGGGGCAGTGTGAGGGATGTCTACTCAGCCCCTGGGCTTGCAGTAGGAGGCAAAACCATGGAGGTTTTGGAAAAAATCCATAAAAACTGGTCAAACACTGAGAAAAAGGGCAGAGCAAGGCGAGCGCCAGTAAAGGAAAATGAGAGGAGCAGGGCAGCCACGTGTTAAGAGCATCGGCTCTGAGTCAGATTGTCTTTGAGCCACGGCTCAGCCACTCAACACCTGTGTAACTGTGGGCAACTTATTTAGCCTCTCTAAGCTTCAGTTTCCTCCTTCACAAGTTGGAGTTAACAATAACAGTTCCTCCTTCTTAAGGCTGTTCTGAGATAATCCACTGCTTTTAATACTCAGTTAATCAACAGGACCTTCGGTGAGACTCATAAAACTAAACAGGTTCTCTTACTCCATGCTAGATCCACTGAATTGGGATGTGTAGGGCGGGGGCTTGGGAATCTTCTCTTTTTTTTTTAAAGCCCCCGAGTGATTCTGATGATAAGCCAAGTTTGGGAAATTGTAAAATAACATGCAGAAAGCACTGAGTACATTGCCTGCACAGGGTCCACATTCCATAAATATTAGGTTATCCCCTTTCTCTGTCAAAAACAAGGACACAGAGACCCTGAGATTTCAGAGTGGAAAGGAGAGAGGACCTGTGTAGGGAAAGGAGGTGGGGGGAGGGGCTGGGGGCAGCACTTGGACACAGCATAGGAAGCAGGTCCTTGGTCGGACTGTAGGGCAGGAGAAACAGCACCATATATAGAGAGTAGATGGTAGCTTGTCTTCCAGGTGCTGAAGGCACCTGGAGCTTGGCCACCTAGAGTGACAAGAGCCCATCATGGGCACAGGGCCGGATGACAGTGTGGAAGCATTCTGGGGACAGCATTGGGGGTTGGGAAGAATCACTGTGGGGGACATTGGAGTACTACCCTAGAGAGAGGTGAGACTGTAAAAGAAAAACTCTGCATGATGGTGGGGTGACAAAAGACTCTGGAAAGTTTGGGAAGTCCTGGGGTCCTCATCATGGGACTGATATGTGCCATTTCCTGCCTCTCAAGCTCTTCCCAGTTACGGGGGCGGCTCTCTAACCACAGGACAGGCACTACTGTCCCCATTAGAAAAATGGGAAGCAAGAGAGAGGGAGAAACTGAGGCACCATGTAAGTTGAGTGCTGTGTTCAAGGTCACCAGGAAGCTTGGGCAGTCTTTCCTATCTGCTCCTGGTGCTGCGGCTCTGCCTCCCCAGCTCTGTCCCTGTCCCCCCTGCCCCTCCAGCCCCCACCAGCAACTTGGGTTTCCAATCTTGCCTCCAGCTGCACTGGGCCTTGGTTATTTATAGAGTGTCAGATGCCCAGGGTTGTCTGTGCTAGCAGCTGCAGGTCAGCTCCCTCCCAAGTGCCAGGACTGGTGGAGAACCAAAACTGGAGGCTGGAGGTCACAGAAGCCCAACCCCTGGGGGGCTGGGAACATGAGCAGTCGACACAAACAGCTATGTCATCTCTGATGTTCAGACCATGCTTTATGCTAATCTAACCATAGGTTCATCTTAAAACAATCCTGGGTGGAAGGAAGATGGGGAAACTGAGGCAGAGAATGGGGAAACTACCACCACACCAAAGCCATATGGCCATTCTCCTACCTTAAGCTGGGGGTTGGGAATGGCAGGAAGTGAAGTCTGGTTGGGGTTGTGGGGTGGGCAGAGAAATCTCAGGGTAAATGACCTGCCAAGGTAGCTGCTTTGGCATTTGTGGCCCTGTCCCTCTGCCCTGTGGCCTGGCATGGTCTCCAGGCTGACAGCTTAATGAGGGTAAATGAGGAGCCATTAGAACCTGAGCTGGGGCCCCAGGGCACAGCAGGGCTGCTGAAGCCAGAGGTCAAGGCCAGGGAATTTCTAATGGCCCCTTAGGGTTGTAACTCAAGTGGGGTCTCATCTCTGGATCCCTCTCCCTCCTCCTGCAGGCTAGTACCTCACATCCACATCCCCCCATCCCCAAACGGCTGCAGTCTCCTCTCCAATTTCAGCTGGAGGATTAATTGAGGTAGATGGTAAATTCTTATACCTTCCACCCCCACAATGACTCATTGCTTGATCACTGTACATTCTAAAAGCTGGAACCAAACAGAATTACAGGGCTAAGTCCTCTGGGGGAAGTGGTAGGTGGTTTTGATTTATCCACTGTCTTGGATTACTTGTGTAAGTTTACCCTAGCCCTGGTTACTGAGATGAAACCATTTCTCTCCTGGCGCTGGGGACATAAGGGGATAAGGTGCCCCAATCCTCTTATTCCCATACCCGGGGGGCCCCTTCCCAGAGCCCTAACTCCTCCCATTGTCCCCCAAGTCCACACTCACATCAGTGGCCTTCTTCTCGGCCTGCTCCAGTTTCTCCTGGGCCTCCTTCACGGATTCAGAATACTTTTCCACCTCATCCTCTGTCCCCTTCAGCTTCTTCTGGAGGGCCTGCTGCTCCTCCTCCAGCTGGGACAGAGGGGACTTGGTCAGCCAGGCTGGGAGGGGGCCCAGGCCCAGAATGGAGACGCGGTGTGTGTAGGGGCGCTACTAAGATTTGGAGGCTACTGGGATGGAAGCGGAATAACATAAAAGGGACAGTACAGTCAAGGGTACTGGTGGGACCCGTTGAGGGTACAGAGAAAACTTCAGGCCCCAAGGAGCAGGACCAACCGCGCTCTGCAAAGGCAGAGTGGAAACCAGGGGCCTGGGGCTTCCCCAGGCTATTGTAGGGGAGAGAAGCGGCTCTGGCGAAGGCCCTGAGGGTACTGCGAAGGCCCAGCCCCCACCCTGGGTGAGAGAGAGCCTTGGCGGGCAGGCCCGGGGCTGGGGGACCCATGGCAGCGGCCCACCCTTGCCCTAGGCGCGGGGAGAGCAGGCTGCACTGGGCCCGGCCCTAACCTGCTTGCAGCGGTCCTCAGCTTGCTTCTTGTCGGCTTCGGCCTGCTCGGCGCGGTCGATGGCGTTCTCCTTGTCCAGCTTCAGCATCTGCATCTTCTTCTTGATGGCGTCCATGGCTGCGGTGGGGGGTGGGCCGGCCGGCAGGCGGTGAGGACCGGACGGACTGGGCTGGGTGAGCGGACTGGGTGCACCGGTGGCAGGCGAGGAGGACGGAGCGGGACTGGGACGTCCCGGCCACGCGGGCGCCTAAAAGGCGGGGAGGGACCGGGCGGGGCCGGCAACCAGGACCCTCCCCCACCTCGGCCCAAACCTTGTAGGGGCAGAAGCACGGCCCGGCCGGGGGGTGCGGCCGCCCCCTTCGCCCACCCACTGGGGACCGCCTCCCTTGGGGTCCCGCCCCCATCCCCCTCTTCCCTGCCAGCCGTCGGAGGAAAAAGTGGCCGACGGTCGGCTGGAAAAACCCCGGCGATGCGAAGGGGAGGGGACCCTTGGGCTGGGGGCTCCGTGCTTCCTCTGAGTGACAGCCGGACCCAGTGGCAGCTGCGGCTGGGGCCCCTGGGGCTATTTCGGGGCGTGAGCTCACGGCAGCTGCCCGGGCGCAGGGACCGGCGTGCCCCCCCTCAGCTGCAGCAGCCGCTACCCTTAATTTAGAAGTTTCCTGCAAATCCCCCCGGATTAAATGTCTCTCGGGAGGCGGAGCTCCTCGGCAGTTTGAGTGCCTCAGTTTACCCTGAGTCCCTCTAGGTTTGCGTTATCGACGTGGTGGTAGTAGCGGAGTCTCATCGGGAGCTTGGGGAAACTGAAGCAGGAAGCGAGCCCAGAGCCCCGGTCGCGGTGGGGAGTGTGGCCGGGCTTGCTGCCCCCAGGACCGGCCTGACCTCTCATCCCCTCGCCTCCCCTCCCAGCCCCTGCCCCTGGAGCCAGGCCCTTCCTGCGAGCACCCGGCGGCTCAGGACCCAGCTCCCCGCCCCGCCCCCCACGTGCCCCGCATATTTTCCACGCGGCTGCGGCCAGGCTGGTCACCGCGCGTTCCCCGCCCCCGCTCCCACCCGGACGCGTCCCGAGCCCCTCCGCTCCCCGCCCCTGGCTCCGCCTGGCCCCACTCCCCTCCGCGCGCCTTCCCTCTTCTCCCCCGCTCCCCGCGGACGCTCCTCTCTTTCCCAGTGGGCCAACTTTATGCTGAAATTTCTTTTCTGCCCTTTTTTGGGATGTTTCCCCATTGGGAGGCGGAGCCGGGCTGCGGCGGGGAAGGCGGAGGGCGAGGGGAAGAGTCACTGAGCTGCGGGGCATAGGGGGTCCGGGGCGAGGTGCCTTCTCCCACCCAGGCCGCCAAACCAGCGCCGGAGCCGGGTCGTGGGGTCTGGGAGTCGGAGGCGCGAGGCGCGAGGGTGTTTGTTTTCGTTTTTCCCTGGGGTGGGGTGGGGGGAAAGGAAGTGGAGAGCCGCCGGGAGGAGGGGGAAGGGGAGGAGAGAACAAGCGGAGGAAGCCGGGAGGGAGCTGCTAGCCTCGCCCCCACCCTCCAGTCATAGAGGGGCGGGAGGCCTGGATTTTGCAGTGGGCTGGGGACCGTGGGAACCCGAGGCCGCTGGCCGGGGCGGTGGGGAGGTGGCGTGGAAATGCATTCAGATCTGTTTAGCTGCCTGCTAGCCACACGGAGAGCAACCCTGGCCTGACCTCGCAGTGTTCCTCTAACTCCGTGGAAGACGCCTCATCCACCAGTAGCCTATGCTAGACCACTGGGTATCCCCTGCCCTTCGCGTCTCACAACCACCTAATCCTGGAGAGGCTGCCTTCTACCAAGGAGGTTCCTCCTCGGGTCGGTCTGGGCTGGCCTCTGGCCGCGCCTTATGTTTTCTTCAGTCTGTTTTGTAGTCTTACTTCTAGTTCCTCAACTCATTCATTCATTTGACTGTCCCATGACATTGTTGTCAAATATCTTTTTAAAAGTTAATGCGAATATTATCTAAAATTCTCCAAAACCCCTCCCTAATCCCTGTCCCCCCACCTTTTTTGAGACGGGAGCTTGCTAGATTGCCCAGGCTGGTCTTGAACTTATGGGCTTAAGTGATCCTCCCGACTCAGCCTCCTGAGTAGCTGGGATTACAGGCGTGCGGGCACCCTGCCTGTTTTGAGGAGAAAAAAAAAATCCACATTTCTTAATATGGTATAGAAGGCCCGTTGTTTTGGCTGTTGCCTGCCTCTCTGGCCTCATCTCCTTCCATGCCCAACCTCACCCCCAGTATTCATACTTGTACCTCATGCTGCATTCATAATGAGCTACGTGCAGGAGCTGGAAATAGCCATACTTTTCTTAAAGCTTCCACAGTTTATGCATTCTGTTCTCTCTCCCTAAAATGCCCATCCCCTTGGCTGATTCCTGGTGGCCTTTAAGACTCAGTAAGTGTCAGCTTTTCTGGGAAGCCTTCCCTGGCCACTTCTCTTCCCACCGCCTCACCTAATAGGTGCGTGTTCTTGGTGCGGGCTCTCACCCTCATCCTAGTCCCATGGTATAACTGTTCTTATACCGGTTTGGCGCCTCCGCCGGTCTGTGAGTCCTCAACAGAAACGACTGTTCTCAATTCTGAATCCCCAAGGCCTATCACAGCACCAGGCATAGAGTTGGCACTTCATGAACATTTGCCAGATGAGTTTTTTATGTACCAGTTTCTGGGTACTTATCAAATATACTAATACGGTGTGGGTCTTTTGGTCTTAGAACCCATTACACTCTTAAAAAGTATTGAAGACCCCCAAACAGCTTTTTTGTTGAAGTGGGTTATATCTACCAATAGTTGCCATATTAAAATGAAACTTGAGAAAAATTTTAAATATGTATCAATTCGTTAAAAATAACAAAAATAAACTCATTACACATTAATCATGTTAACATAATGTTCTAAATGAAAGATAACTATATTCCCATTCCCCGAATTAATGAGAGTATGGAAATTATTTTACATTTTTACGAATCTCTTTACTCTCTGGCTTCCAAGGGGACAGCTGTATTATCAATATCTCCTTCCATATTTGATCTGTTGCTATATGTTGGTTACTGAGACATATGAAGAAAATCCTGTCTCACAACAGATATGCAGTTGGAAAGATTTATTTATTATTTTATTTATTTATTTTGAAACAGTCTTGCTCTGTTGCCCAGGCTGGAGTGCGGTGGTGCGATCTTGGCTCACTGCAACCTCCGCTTCCCAGGTTCAAGCAATTCTCCTGTCTCAGCCTCCTGAGTAGCTGGGACTACAGGCATGCACCACCATGCCTGACTAATTTTTGTATTTTCAGTAGAGACAGGGTTTCACCATGTTGGCCAGGCTGGTCTCGAACTCCTGACCTCAAGTGATCCGCCTGCCTTGGCCTCCCAAAGTGCTGGGCTTACAGGCGTGAACCACCACGCCTGGCCTATTTATTATTATTATTATTTGTTTATTTTTTTGAGACAGAGTCTCGCGCTGTCACCCAGGCTGGAGTGCAGTGGGGCGATCTCAGCTAACTGCAACCTCCGCCTCCCAGGTTCAAGTGATTCTCCCGCCTCAGCCTCCCGAGTAGCTGGGACTACAGGCATAAGCCATCACACCCAGCTAACTGTTGTATTTTTTGTTTGTTTGTTTTGTTTTTTTGAGACGGAGTCTCGCTCTGTTGCCCAGGCTGGAGTGCAGTGGCACAATCTCGGCTCACTGCAACCTCCGCCTCCCAGGTTCACGCCATTCTCCTGCCTCAGCCTCCCAAGTAGCTGGAACTATAGGCGCCCGCCACCATGCCCAGATAACTTTTTATATTTTTAGTAGAGACGGGGTTTCACTGTGTTAGCTAGGCTGGTCTTGAACTCCTGAACTCAGATAATCTGCCTGCCTTGGCCTCCCAAAGTGCTGGGATTACAGGCGTGAGCCACCATGCCGGGCCTGGCATATTTATGTTTTTTTGAGACAAGGTCTGGCTCTGTCACCCAGGCTGTAGTGCAGAGACACAATCACGGCTTGGCTCACTGCAGCCTTGACCTTCTGGGCTCAAGTGCTCTCTCCGCCTCAGTCTCCTCCAGTAGCTGGGACTACACATGTGCACCATCATACCCGGCCCTTTTTTTTTTTTTTTTAAATAGAGATGGTGTGCCACTATGTTGCCTAGGTTGGTCTCAAACTCCTAGGCTCAAGCTACCCTCCTGCCTCAGCCTCCCAAAGTGCTGGAATTACAGGCCTGAGCCACTGTGCCTGGCCGATAATTGGCAGTTTCTTAAGGGGCAGTTGCAATGTAGAATGTGAAACCATATCAGTGACCTTTTTGTACTGTTAAACTAAAATCCGTTGTTTTGGCCAAGTGTGGTGGCTCACGCCTGTAATCCCAGCACTTTGTGACGCCAAGGTGGGTGGATCACCTGAGGTCAGGAGTTCGAGACCAGCCTGGCCAACATGGTGAAACCCTCCCGTCTCTACTAAAACTACAAAAATTAGTCAGGTGTGGTGGTGGCACACGCCTGTAATCCCAGCCACTCGGGAGGCTGAGGCAGGGGAATCACTTGAACCTGCGAGGCGAAGGTTGCAGTTAGCCGAGATTGCACCACTGCACTCCAGCTTGGGTGACAGAGCAAGACTCTGTCTCAAAAAAAAAAAAAAAATCCGTTTTTCTGAACTGCACCTGATTGGATCTTTTACCCATGCATAATTTTGTAACACCGTGCATTCGTCATATGGAAAATAATTGATTCACTGAGCTATGCAAATCTTCCAAATATTAATGTTTCATTATACATTATTTTAAAAATCACAATAGGTTTCAGGCCAGGTGCGGTGGCTCATACCTGTAATCCCAGCACTTTGGGAGGCCGAGGTGGGTGGATTGCCTGAGCTCAGGAGTTCGAGACCAGCCTGGGCAACATGGCAAAACCCTGTCTCTACTAAAAATACAAAAAGTTAGCTGGGTGTGGTGGCGGGCGCCTGTAGTCCCAGCTACTCAGGAGGCTGAGGCAGGAGAATTGCTTGAACCTGGGAGGTGGAAGTTGCAGTGAGCTGAGATTGCACCACTGCATTCCAGCCTGGGGAACAGAGCGAGACTCTGTCTCAAAAATAAATAAATAAATAAATAAATAAATTTTAAAAAAATCACAATAGGTTTCAACAGTAAAGTCTTTGTTTTTCTTCATAGTATTATACTGGAGAACAGTAAAGTCTTTAAGTTTTAAATTTTGGGAAGCTGTGAAGCTCATGTAGCAAATACAAGTGTTCCAAAATTCGATTTTTCACTTGAAAGCTTGAATTATATCATTGGCAACAAACACTGTCAGATTTTTCCCTGAAGTGACAGACTCACTTTGTTCCTTTTTAGAAAAGTTCTGCCAGCTACCTAAATCTGATAACCACAGTTTGTCGGCCATTCTTTTGAGTAAACGTGGCATTCCATAAAAGAGCAGCTAGTTCAGCTCACAACTCAAAGAATGGCCTAAGTTATTTCCTCCAGAAAACCATCATACTTTGGTATGCAAAATGTCTTATGCATACTTCCCACTTTATCAGACAGAATGTTGAAAAGCCTTTTCCTTAAGGATTAAGGTTTAATTAAATTAATACATTTAGGCTGGGCGTGGTGGCTCACGCCTGTAATCCCAGCACTTTGGGAGCCTGAGGCAGGCAGATCATGAGGTCAGGAGTTCAAGACCAGTCTGGCCAACATGGTGAAACCCTGTCTCTACTAAAAATACAAAAATTAGCTGGGCATGATGGCATGTGCCTGTAATCCCAGCTTCTCGGGAGGCTGAGGCAGGAGAATTGCTTGAACCGGGACACAGGAGGTGGAGGTTGCAGTGAGCCGAGATCACGCCACTACACTCCAGCCTGGGCTACAGACCGAGACTCCGTCTCAAAAAAAAAAAAAAATTTTTTTTTTTTACTTCATCAAGGACATTTTTTTTGAGTCTTGCTCTGTTGCCCAGGCTGGAGTGCAGTGGCGTGATCTTGGCTCACTGCAACCTCCGCATCACAGGTTCAAGCAATTCTGGTGCCTCAGCCTCCCAAGTAGCTGGGAATTACAGGTGTGCACCACCATCCCCAGCTAAGGAAAATAATGTCTTGGTATTTTTATGAAAATAATTTTGACCTATGGACCCCTGAAAAGGTCTTAGGGAACCCTAGGGGTCTGAGGACCACATTTGAAGAGCTGCTGGTTTAATAGGTTTTAAAGCCTCTCCCCAGATGGCTCCCAAGGTATCACTAGTGAGAAGTATGTGATTGGTCCCAGTTCCTGAGGACATGACAAGGAAATGGTAACAGGAGTAAGCAGCTGTCCTGGGCTCCTAGCTGGAGTTCAAAGTCTAGACTGCCACTTGTCGGGGAGGTTATAGAAGGGATTTGATCTCCAAGGTCCTCAACTGATACTATGACATTGAATCTGGGATTAGGGAGCCCCCACAGTATGTACTGGAGTTGCCAGTCCTCTGCGTCAGAGAAGTGATAATACATCTCAATTTTCCAGTGCTTAGCACAAGCATGGCTTAGTAAATATTGAATGAATGAATCACAGGTGATAGGAGTGATGGTAGGAGGTTGGCACCATCCCTAATGGGCTGTCCTAGAGTTCCATCTACTTTCTTAGAGAAGGGCTCTCACTCCGTCACCCAGGCTGGTGCACAGTGGCACCATCATAGCTCACTGCAGCCTTGAACTCCTGGTCTCAAGCAGTCCTCCTGCCTCAGCCTTTTAAGTAGCTGGGATTAGAGGCTCGAACCACCGTTACCAGCTACATTCCATCTACTTCAAGCTTTCCCTAATGTGGTGGGAGTAGAAGGTGTTAGTAGCAGATGGGTGGCGTTTGTGTTCTACTTGAGGAAATAATGTACTGGGCGGTAGGGCTGACTAAAGAATCACGCATGAAAATAGTTGCCAACCTAAGACGACTGTCAGAGAGTCCATGCATTATGGACAGAGTGGCTGGATGGGGACGTGGAAGCACACAGCATCCACCTCTCTGACTGCCTCTTTCCACTGACCCACCAGATAAGCAGGGTGGCTGGAACAGGGCTGCTAGCACCTTCCTGGCCACTAGGGGAGCTCTGCCCCCTCTAACAATAAATTCTCACACCTGGGTCAAGCTCTTCACTTTTAGCGCTACCCTAGGCAGGAGTGTCCCAACCCAATCAAGAGCGGTGCCTACCCGAGGCAGCCTCAAGTTGGGATTTTTCTGCTTGCTAATGGCTTCAATCAGTTTTGTGGCCATAGTTCTCTTAGGCTCAGACACTTACAGGCATATTATTTTTAGCAAAGCTTCTTTTGAAAATTTGAATTTGGTCAAGGACTGGATTTGTTGACATACCCTGAGTAGCTATGAAGAACAGAATGTCCTGGTAGCCACAAGGAACTGTGGTAGCTGCTGTCCCAGCAGCAGCAGAACGACACTTTGTGAGGCTTAGGTGCTGGCCAGGGAGGTGAGGATAACAGGAGTATGACTTCTCAGGCACAACTTCCCCATTGGATAACTTTAGGGTCCGGGTGCAAGGAGGAAGGGACCTCAGGTGCAGACTGCCAGTCTTCCCCTCTCCCATTTCAAGCTGGATCAAGCTGGGTGACAGAATTCAACCCCACTGTCTCTCCTACTGCCCTGGGAGAAAACTTGTATCTCCCTTGAAGCCAGGCAGAGGTTGTAGGTAGAATCATTTTTATTGGAGCATGACCTGTTTGGGGCTTATAACTCTGCAGCCCCTATGGGTAGCTGGGGGTGGGGGAAGATAGTATCAAAAAACGGTGAAGAGAGCTGATGAGGCTGTGGGGACTGGCCGGAAGCTGCTGGCAGGGTGGAGTGGGCTGGGGCCCCGGCAGATTCAGATCGAGGTACAGCAGCGTTAATAATACTCTTGGAGCGTTAATACTCTGGGGAGGGGCAGGCACTTGGGGGGCCCTAGGGCATGAAGGCACTTGGGGTTGGGGAGGGGACAGGGGATGTACTGCGGGACTGGGCGGGGCCAGGCCCTGGGGTTTGGCAGGCACTTTGGGGAGTGCTGGGGTTGGGCAGGTTGGGCCCCGACAGCCCAGAAGGCTTTGGTAGTGGCACGCACAGTCTCTGGGCCGGGTCTGCATTAAATAGAAGAGGCTTCTTTAGTGCTCATCTCGAAGCTCTGAAGGCAGAAACTTGTACTGCTGCTGCCGGATCTGGGCCAGTTTCTTCCGCGCCTCTTCCAGCTCTCGTTCCTTCCGAAGCATTTCTTCCTGTGCTGCGATGATCTGAGGGTGGAGATCGGGGACTTAGTTCAGTGAGGATGCACAGCAGGGGCATAGGGTAGTTGGGACCAGCGCAGGCAACATGACTGCCCTCCTGACAGCGTCCCTCAGCATCTGGGGTGAAGCTCACCTGGGCAATGCCGCCAACCATCTTCTCTTTCACCACCACTGTCTCATTCTCCTGCTCTTCAAAGGCTGCAGCCTTCTGTGCTGCTTTCACCAGATTATCTGAGGCTCGCTTCACTGCGTTGCCAGCAGCCTGGGCAGAGAGAAAGTGGCCTAGGTTGAGAACTCAGGTACGGTCCCAGTTGAGACAGTACCTCAATTCTCTCATAGAAACATACATCTCGGGAGTGACAGTTTGAAGCAGTATAGCCCAAGGGACAATGGGATGGGTCAGGGTTCTCACCTGAAGTCGTTTCATTGCCTCCGAGTCCTGGTCAGCCTTGACCTTGCAGGCCACAAGGAGCTGGGCTGTGGAGGCAGCTACCTGCTTGGCTGATGAGATGAGCTTCTCCTGGCTGGCATGGCCTTGTACAGCTGCATTGGCTGCCTCACACAGATTGTTGGTGGCCGCAGCCACCATCCGGGCCTAAAGCAGGGAGAGTTTGCTTAAAAATATGCCCCTTGCCCTGGTCCATCCCCACTCCAGCCTTCTCAAGTCTCTCAAACTGAGAGAGACCTAGTGGTATTGCACACTTACAGCAGAAATGAGGCCCTGGGACCACTGCCCATCGTCCAGTGCATTGGCTGGAATGGCACCCACCTGTAGGAAGGAGAAGAGCCTACTTAGACCTGCATTTTCCTCACTTCAAAGACTCGCTGGCTATGGATGTGGATGTGGACATCAAAGTGCCAACCTGTCCCCATTCTTCTGGGTATTTAAGCACTCACCTTCCCTTGGGCCACTAGTTCTCTCTGGGCAGCCGACGCAGCCTTTACCAGTGCACTGGTGGCTGCTGCAATGGACTTGGCAGCTTCTAGTATCTGCTCCTCAAAGTTCAAGGACTCATCTGCCTCCTGCAATAAGCGAAGGTTGCAGAAAGAGATGTAAAGTCAGAGATGAAGGTGGGGACACTGCCATGGTGAGGGTGGAAGAGGAAGGGAGCAGGACTGACCTTGGGTTTGGCCCGGGGCTTCAGCTGCTCTAGCTTTTTGGCTGCAGCCTCAATGGCGGCTGCAGCTCCCAGGAGCTCATTCTCAGCAATGACTGTGGGGTCCTCTGGGTCTACCCATTCTGTTCCTGGTGGGATGAAGGAAGAGGAAAGAGGCTAAGGCAGAGTGGGGAGGTCAAAAGCACCAGGGAGCATGGTTAGTATCATCAGGCCCTGGCATCTGTGGGGACTATGGTCAGAGGCTAGCACAGAGCTGTCCAGCCAGGAAGCAGAGATCACACCATGATAAGGGTTTTCCATCCGTCCCTGTCCCTGGTCACCCCTCACCCTTCATGGCTTCAGCAGCCTGGATGAGCTCAGTGACGGAACCAGCCACACGCTTTGAATGTCCTGTCAACTGCTGCTTCAGTTCTGGGCTTGGCTTCTGCAGGGTCTGGGCAAGAAGCGGGCAGGGGACAAAGAGCATCACATCTTAGGGTCTACCCTGATCTATGAAATAGGGCAGACCATGGCCCCCTCACCCCTATCCCTAGAGCACTCCACACCATAGCCCTCAAACTCCACGCTGCCTATCCAAGTACACATCATGCATCACACCTCACACGTGATAGAGACAGTGGGGCTGTGTCACTCACCGGCTGACAAGGAGCAAGGAGAATGATGAGATGAAAGAGGAGACGACGAAAGTAGAGAAGGGGGTGGTCAGGTGGGAAGGGAGGAGAAAAGAAAAAGAGGAAGAGGAAGAGGTGACTGGGAGAACCAAAGATGATAAGAAGGATGGGGCCTGGGAGAAAGGGAGACTTGGAAAGGAGAACAGATTTGGGAAGTAGAGGGTGGGGTAGGGAGGAGATCTGAGCAAAACAGACAGCAGGGTGCGAGGCCTGCAGGAAGAGGGCTGTGTATTCAGGGAGGCTGGTATGAGGAACAAGCAACGCCCTCCCTTACCAGCAGTACATGGTCCAGCAGTTCCAGGTAGCCATTGGCACACTCCCGGCCATAGTGCAGGGCTCGAAGCCGCACATCAGGGGCCACTTCTGGGTGGTAAGCTGCTTCCTGTCCCCAGAGTAATATGTTAGCTTTAGGCCCCGCAGATCCCTACAGTTTCTCTCCCACTATGTTCTGGCCCAAAGCTGCCTCACGGAAATGCCTCAAGGATTTCTACCTTGCAAGCCCGAAGCATATCTGCAATAGCACGGCGGCTCAGATTGGCTGTGGCAATGACATCTTCCTGGCGACAGGAATTGCCAGCAGCAACGGCCTTGGCGGTTGCCATGGTGATACCCTTGGTCATTCGGATGAAGTCTTCTGGGGTAGAGGTCTTGGCAGGTGGCTCTGGGGAACAGAAAACCTGTGGGGGCAGAAGAAGAAGAAAGATTTTACAGTGGCTGAGACTATGAGACAGCGTAGAACTCTGTGTGCATGTGATTTGGTGCAGACATTCACACATCACAGTGAATGTAACAAGGCAGTTGGTTATTGTTTCTGACTGAAGCAACTGGGGAGTTTGTTTGTTTGTTTGAAATCACAAAAGTAATTACAAAAGTGGCTTTTGGCTGGGTTTTCATTCCCAAAATAGAGAGAAGCCTTGAAGGGGTGAGAGGCAGAGCTAGGCCATAAAAGATATACAGATGATAGGAGGGCATTTTAGGTAAATGGTAGGACATGAACAACCAAGATGTCACATCGGAAAGTATCAAGGAATGTTCTGGAATATAGGAATGGTGAAGAAAAGGTTATTGGGGACTTGAATATCACACCGAGGAACTTGGACTTTTACATAATATGTGAAAGTCATAAAATATTTTGATGTACGGGTTCAATCTGCAAACATTTATTAAAGATCAGCTAGGTGGCAGATTCTATGCAAGGGGCTAGGGATGCTCCCTGTTCTCATGGAGCTTACATTCTGGTTTTGGACACAGGTAATAAATAAATAAACAAGCAGCAAAACTGAGGACTGTGATTTGGATTATGAGAGAATAGAGACAGTGCTGTGATGAGAACTACTTCAAATAGGTGGTCAGGGAAGGGCTCTCTGAGGAGGTGACATTGAGGCTGAAGCCTGATGAACTGGAAGGAGCACAGTGTTCAAAAAGCTGGAGAGAACTGAGTGGAAGAGCCTGCAGCAGATAAGAGCTTGGCATGTTCTCAGAACTGATGGTGCAGGGGGATGGGGCACAGAAAGGAAGAGAGTAGGATGAGACTGGAGAAGCAAGCAGAGCCATCACTAATGGGTTTTAAGTAGTGAAGTGACATAATCTAATATATATATATTTCTTGCTCTGTCACCCAGGCTGGAGTGCACTGGAGTGATCATAGTTCACTGCAGACTTGAACCCCTGGGCTCAAGGGATCCTCCTGCCTTCAGACTCATGAGTAACTGGGACAGGCATGGGCCACCTTGCCCAGCTAATCTTTAAATTTTTTGTAGAGACAGGATCTTGCTATGTTGTCCAGACTAGTCTTGAACTCACTCAAGTGATCCTCCCATCTCAGTCTTCCAAAGCGCTGGGATTTTACAGGCATCAGCCAGCATGTCCAGACTCTAATTTATATTTTAAAAACATAATTTTAGCTACTGTGTACAAAGGAGGATTGGAGGGGGCAAGTGTTGAAGCATGGTGACTGGATAGAGACTACTGCATAAATCCAGTTAAGGACTGATGATGGTTTGGACAGTGTGGTAGTGGTAGGAGATAAAAAGAAAAAATGAGCTGTATTTGGAAGGGGCACTAGCAAAACTTAGATGTGGGGAATGAGAGAAAGAGAGAAGTCTAATATATTGAAGCTAGGTTTCTGGCTTTAGGAACTGAGTTACTAAGAGGTGCCATTTACTGAGATGGGGGAAGACCAGGAAAGGACCAGGTATGGGAGGCAGAAAGTCAAGAGTTCCAACTTGGACATCTTCAAGTAAAAGTGAAAACAGAACCTTAGAAAGATGCATTTAGAAATTAGAAAGATGAGTAGGGAGAGAGGAGAGTGGCAGGGACCAGAAGCAGGGAGACCAGGGAGAAAACTGGTGCCACAGCCAAATTGCGGGAGAGTATGGAAGTGTGAACCAGAGTGCGGACAGGGAACCAGGGAGGAGGAATGAAAGGACGTGGCAACAGCCTGGATATGGTGGCTAAGATGGTGAAGTCAAAGATGACTGAGGTGGAATCTTCATGACTGCAAGGGTGTTCCCACCATTAGGAGGACCATGTCATGGTTCGGAGGCACTGCATCTAGGTGGTGATGTCAAACAGGCAGTTGAAAATAACTCAACTCAGAACTGGATGTCTGCTTCTTACAGAATAATAATGAAAGTGGTTAAACTTGCCAAAGAAGAGAAGAGAGAAGGAAGACTATTTGTACAACCCTGGGAAGGCCTCCACATTTACTAAGTTAAAGGTGATTCAATGACGTTCGAGAAACAAGAGAAAAGCCAGTATCTAGGCCAAGGGAAGAAAGAATTTCATTTTTTTTCTTTTTTGTTTTTTTTTGAGATGGAGTCTCACTCTGTTGCCCAGGCTGGAGTGCAGTGGCGCCATCTTGGCTCACTGCAACCTCTGCCTCCCGGGTTCCAGCGATTCTCCTGCCTTAGCCTCCCAAGCAGCTGGGACTACAGGCGCGTGCCACCACGCCCAGCTAATTTTTGTATTTTTAGTAGAGACGGGGTTTCACCATATTGGCCAGGCTGGTCTCGAACTCCCGACCTTGTGATCCACCCGCCTCAGCCTCCCAAAGTGCTGGGATTACACCCGCTGGCCTCCCAAAGTGCTGGCGTGAGCCACCATGCCCAGCAGAAGAAAGAATTTCAAAGAGAGGCTTGTTAACACAGTCAGATGCTTTCGAAATATTCAAAGAGGATGAAGGCCAAGAAGTGGCCACTGAATGTAGCAACTAAGAAGAGGCCACTAGTGACTGGAGAAAGTGGGAGGGTGGTGAAAAAATACAGTTGTCACATGCTAAGGAATAAACAAGTGGGTAGGGGACAGACATGAATGTAGCTCACTGGCACAGTGGCTCATGAGTGTAATCCCAGCACTTTGGGAGGCCAAGGCGGGTGGATCACTTGAGGCCAGGAGTTCGAGACCAGCCTGGTCAACATGGTGAAACCCCATCTCTACTAAAAATACAAAAACTAGCCAGCATGGTATGCACCTGTATTCCCAGTGACTCAGGAGGCTGAGGCATGAGAAGCACTTGAACCTGGGAGGTGGAGGTTGTAGTGAGCTGAGATCACGCCACTGCACTCCAGAAGGAGGGTGTGGGAGAGCTGGGGTAGGGGAAGTCACATGGTGACTGAGGAAGATGCCATGTGAAATGGAAAGGTCACCCACACCTGGGAGAAATGACAAGAGGAGAGGGCTGAGAAGGCTGGAGGAGGATGGCTACAGAGCAAGACCCTTCTCAAAAAAAAAGTCTGGCGATAGATGAGAGAGAAGACTGTGTGTGACTCCAGCTGTGAGTATATGTGTGGCACAGGTTCACAGGCTTTCAGGATCCCTCTCTCTGACCCTAGTCACTGATGCCCCAGACTCTCACTCACCGCCAGCTCCTGCCGTATGTGTTCTGTGGTTGCCTCCAGGGCCCGAGTGCCTTTGGTGGCCTCATCTTCCACGGCTTTTACTGTCTTAAGCAATGATGTCACATTGGTCACCATCACCTGGAGGTATCAGAGGAGTGAAGAGGAATGATTTTAAGGAACAGGAGGAAGTATGTTAATCCAGTGCCCCTCCTGATGTTGCTCTCATTCTCTCCAACCTTGGCAGAGTTCTTTAGCTGCCACACAGCAGGGTCATCTCCAACTTTGCCAGCTGCAGCCTTCGTTGCACTGATGAGGTCTCCCAGGGCTTTGGCTACATCTTTCACTGCGTTGATTAGTACCACCTGTGTGGGAAAGCGTTGGCTCTGGTCTATGGGAGGAAGAAGCGGGACAGGAAGTGATTCCAGCCGGAATTAGGGGCATCAGGTCACTACCTGGGTCTCAGGGTCCTCAGCTCCCAGGCTGGCTGCACCCAGCTTGACCACATCAGCGAGGCGGGTGATGGTCGCCACGGAGGACTGGGCAGCCTGCGCCAACTTCTCCTGGCTCCCAGCTGCGTTTTGCACCAGGACCTTGGTGTCCTCCACCAGCACCTTCGCAGTCTTCAGGATGCCCTCCCTGAGGGAGGGCCCAGCTTAGTCAGATCTCCCCTACCCGCTCCAGCCCGTCCAAGGTGCCTGGTCCAGGTCTTCCCCATTCCAGCGAATGCTATCCTGCCTCTTCCAGCCCCGTGCCCCGACCTGTCTGCCTCCCTTAGGCCCAGTTCCTGTCTTACCGGTGGTCAGCGAAAGTTTCAGTACCCTCACGATTGAGCGTGCCAGCAGTGGCGAACATGATGGTGGTGTCGAGGTCAGCAATGATACCAGACACAGCGCTGGCTGCTGTGATGCAGGCCTGGGTGCCACGATTCCCAGCCTGGAGCGCAGCCAGGACGTGGGAGACCTGGGTAGGGAATGTCACATGGTGACTGTGGAAGGTGCCATGTGAAATGGAAAGGTTGCCCATGCCTGGGAGAAGTGACAACAGGAGAGGGCTGAGAGGGCTGGAGGAGGATGGCAAAGGCTACAGAGTTTGGAGGCAGTCCCACCATCTGCAGGGATGAGCACCGTCACCTTCTCAGAGACTCTCCGGGCACACTCTATGAGCTCCTTCTTGGTGTAGGCATCACTGGGGCTGCACTGCAGGGCGCCTGCCTTGGTGACCAGAGCGGCACAGCCATGGCCCAGCTCCTGTACCCGGTGTTTGATATGGGAACCTATCTGTGAGCCAAGGGAAAGACAGATGGATTTTACAAGGGGCACTCAGGGTACCTTCACTGTGCTTGGAAAAGTCACTAAGGACATAGAAAAAAACATGCATTGTAGACTAAAGAAGCAGAGAGAGAAGGTTCCCAGCACAAGGACGTTTCCGGTTGCATATCCTTTAGGCAGAAGGTCACCTCCTACACACAGAAAATAGTAGCACGCAGGCACTAAGTGGTGAGGATTGTGTTAAGCACAGTGGGGAGAAGGGGAGGAGCACTTTATGCTTGAATGTGGGAATCAGAGGGCCGTGGATTACCATGTGGCCTGTATGGGGTTATGGAGGGTTTTAAGGATGGGCATTACATGTGTCCTGCTAAGATCCAATTACTTGCTTTCTTGGAAAGCTAGAGGCTTAGGTAAGGAAGAGCTTCATGAGTTTGCAACAAGAAAGAACAAGAACATGGACTGGCAGCACAACAGAGAAGCAGCTGTAGGCCCAGATGAGGGTCGGCAGAAGCCAGAAAGGCAGGCCCGGGAAGGCTCCAGATTCTGAGCTGTTTCCTTTGTACCTGTGACTGAAGGCTTTGATCCTCTGTCCCTACCCAGAGCCTCACTAGTCTTCAGCAGAGTGGCCCTGAGGCTGTTCCCCTTTCTATGAAAGACCAGAGAGGGTGGGGGTGGGACAGCCCTAGACACTGACACATCAGGAACAAGGGGCAGGGGGCAGGGCAGAGTTGCCTCCACGTTTACCTCTTCATTTTCAGCAGCCACCGCTGCAGGCTTGGCCTCCGAGGCCAGACGGCCATAGTCACTGGTCAGCTGGTTAGCAAGAGGGCCCAGCTCCTCTGGGCTGGTGTTTGACTTGGTAACCTGGTGATAATGGAACGAGTGAAGTTATATCCAAAGTCAGCTCTCCGAGGGCAGTCCTCTGGGACTCGCCCAAACTCACCATCTCCTGAACGGTCACTGCAATGGCCTTGGCTGTCCGCACCATAGTTGTTTGGTAATCCACGAAGGAACCTTCTGGTTCACCCATTGGTCCTTCATCTAGCTGAGGGGGGAGGATAGGGAAAGGGAAAGACTGTTAGGGTCTCTGCCACTGTGCTTGGAGGCTCTGGCCCAGGGTAGCCTCAGTGTCCAAAGGCACCCCAAGACTCTAACCTGGTTGATGGCCTGGGTGATGGAGTCCACCATGCCACCCACGACCCCAGCAGCACTGGCTGCCTCGTTGAGGGTTGTTGTCAGGTCCTCTACGGCCTCGGTCATCATCTGCACAGCCTCCTCCAGGGCTTCCTGGGTGTGAGCTGCTTGCTGTGGGGAGAGGAGAGGAGCTCTGTTGTTCCTGTTTCTCCAGCCTCCTGCTAGTAACAGCTCCTCCCTCCCAACCCTCAATACCTTTGGGTTACCACCAGCCTCCTTGGCAGTGTATAGCAACTGCAGGGCAGACTCTGCCAATGTTTTAGTCTGGTCCAGGAGTGCCATCTGCTGCGGGTGGCTCAGGGTCTTGGAGGCAGCACCCACTGCAGCCAGGGTGAGCGGCTCAAAGTACTGCGCCATCTGGGACACCTGAGGCAAGGGGTTGGACTAGGGGTCAGGTCCCCTCTCTCTCACCCTACTCCCTGGGACTTCCCATGAGTCTCCATAGGTACCTTGTGTCCCAGCTGGGAGGCTTCAGCCCGGGCAGCATTGGCCAGCGGCTCAATGAGATGGGAGATCTCTTGGACTGCAGTGAGCATCTGAGTGTGCAAGGCCTGGGGAGGAAGTGGACATTAGCCCTGATGGTGACCTGCAATAGGACCCTCTGGCTACAAAGAACTGCTCTTCTGTCCATACCAAATACCCTAACCCTCCTTCGCACATCCCAGCCTTTGATGTCCCTAAGAAGCCACTCCTTGATCCCCCAGCTTCTTTGAGTCTGATATTTCTCTTCCTAGACACATCTTTCCATATAACCCTCTCCCTCTCACCTCTTGAGAGATTCCCTCACGGGGAGCAAGCTGCTGGCTGACTGCAGCGAGGGAAGCCTGGTCTAGGTCCCGTAGACAACTGTTCAGAGCTGCAATGGCCGTTTCACACTCCAGCTGCCCTGGAGCCTTGTCCCTGCAGACACATCATGGGCTCCAACACCAAGAACATCCCCTACTGCAAGGCCAGCCTATCCTTCCCCTGTATCCTCCCAACACCATCCCATCTCATTGCACTCAAGTGCCCATCCTCCATTCTGCCACAATGTATGCCCCCCAGCCACACTGGTTCCCCATCCCTCAATACCTCATGCTTGTAATTAGCTTCTTGATGGAGTCTGAGACAGTACGGGAGTGGCCGGCCAGCACCGACCAGCTCGGGGGGTCCCGGGGATTGACTGCGAGGGCCCGGGCTGTCTGGATGAGTCCCCCGGCACTCTCTAACATTGTCTTGGCAGAGATCACAATGGGCTCCATGGCAGCCCGACCCTGGGGAGAGGGGAGGCAGGAAGGTAAGTCTCAGGAGTCCCTGGAAGATGAGGTGATAAGCTGGCCCATCAGTTCCCCCTTCACATCGCCTCACCTCAGGGCTGATCTGGGCAGGAATGCTGGAGAACTCAGGGTTGGACGCAAAGGCACTCAGATTGTCCACAGCCTCCAGCAGAGGGGCTGTTGCTGCTCGGCACTGGGCACGGTTCTCCTCTGTGAAGGCCCCATCTAGCGCCTAGAAGTGACAGAGAGGCTCTCAGGACTTGGGATGCAGTCATAGGGGGTATAGGAAGTGAAGTCCAGGTCTCCTTCCTGGGACTTACAGGATTTGGGGAGAGGCTAGGTGGTCAGTCTGAATAGAAAGAGCTTGGGCTCAGGCAGAGGGGATTTGGTAGAAGGCTTCAGAGAATAACTGGGGGACTCGGGGGAGAAGATAGGACAGGTCAGGGAGAGGCTGGGAATTCAAGCAATGGGAACCTTGATGGTCTTGACAAGATTAGCTGTGCTGTTGGCCACCTCCTTGGCTGACTGTACAAACTGGCGCTTGGCAGTAGGATTGGTGGTACGGGCAGAAGCCAGGCGACAGCTGTTACACAGTGCAGAGGTGTGTTTAGCCACAATGGTGGCTGCAGAGAGCACCTGAGGAGACACATGGAAGAGCCACGATGAGGGCAGGAAGGAGGTGTACATACCCAAGGAGGAGCCATTTTAGGGTCAGGGGATGGAGAGCAATACCCTGAGGAGTCAAAACAGGAATAACAGAGTCACCTGAAAAGTCAAGATCTAGGAGACAGAGATACCCAAAGATGAACTGGGCATGGGAGAGGAAAGACATACTAATGGAGAAACCATAAGAGGGCATGTGGGAGAGTAAGCTCGAACATCTACAGAGAAGTTGTGAATTTAGCAGTAACTGATAAATGATGAGACCCATGGCAGAAAAAGACAGTTACCCAAAAAGAAGCTGTGTGTGCAAGGTCAGAGATGGGTCCCTGCCCTCTTTCCCACATGCCTCACCTCCCTCTACTCCACGGGGTCGGTCTGCCCTTTCCCAGACTCGCCTGTGGTCCCTGTTCCCTTGAGTTACCTGGGCCTGGGTACAGCCAGGCTCTCCCAAACTCTGGCAGGCCATCTGAATTGCCTGGTTTGCACGGGCAAACTGTGTGGGCTCCACTAGCCCTTGCTGTCCAGCTTGGCTATTGGGGTCAGAGACACCAACCAGATATGCAGCCTGGGAAGAGAAAAGGGGGTGGGGGTGAGGAATAAAGATTGCAGGTGGGAAATGAATAGTGATAGTAGGGACAAAAGAGAGCAGAGGTAAGTTTAGAGAATAGGGCTTATTTTCCAGAGTTCTCCATGAGTGGAGATACATTAGCAAACAATGGTTACACTATAAAGAAGAAAAAAAATACTCTCCTGTTTTCATTAAGTATATTCAAGCATTTCAGAAGATTAAAAAAGTTAATAAAAAGGAAAACTACATAGCAAGGGTTTTTATCCAATCTCTATTTAGATATGTTTGTGTATGTTGGGTCTTAGAGTGAAAAGTATGGCTTACTGTAAGTAGCAGTAAAACGTTTGAGAGCCATATATAAATACACACCTTTGTGCACACAAGCAAAGCCTCTTTTAAAGACAGTTCAAAACTGATGAAGGTTATTAGGCTAATTCACATTTATAGCACCTCCATGCGTCAGATATTTGGAAAGGAAGGGAGGGGTTAAAAAGCCATTTTTATGATGGAAAGAACATCCTAATGTTTGATTCATACTTCAATCAATACACAGTAGCTTTGCTTTTTCCTCTATGCATTTTCAGAAGGTGGGGGGAAAAAAACCAAACAAACAACAAAGAGGTTTAGTGAAACCCTGTCTCTACTAAAAATACAAAAATCAGACGGGTGTGGTGGCAGGCGCCTGTAGTCCCAGCTACTCGGGAGGCTGAGGTAGGAGAATCACTTGAACCCGGGAGGCGGAGGTTGCAGTGAGCCGAGATTATGCCTCTGCACTCCAGCCTGGCGACAGAGCGAGACTCCGTCTCAAAAAACAAACAAACAAAAAACCAAAAAAACAAAAAAACAAAATCAAACAAGCCATCTAGAGCAAGGCGCCTATTCTGACAGGGCACAGGGAGGTGGTGGAGATGGAGGGCTAGGATGGTAGGCTTTCAGGGAAAATAGTCTGAAGTGAACTCTTATGATGCCAGTTTGTTTTAAGGATTCATATACTAAAGCAAAATACTTTACAGCTAATAGGTAGTTTTATACTTGATAATGTGGGAAAAGGCAAAGTTAAGTGATAACTCAAGTAACTGGAAATTTTGTCACTAGTACTATTTTAAGAAAGTAGTGATTGGCCGGGCGCGGTGGCTCACGCCTGTAATCCCAGCACTTTGGGAGGTCGAGACGGGCGGATCACGAGGTCAGGAGATCGAGACCATCCTGGCTAACACGGTGAAACCCCGTCTCTACTAAAAATACAAAAATTAGCCGGGCATGGTGGCGCGCGCCTGTAGTCCCAGCTACACGGGAGGCTGAGGCAGGAGAATGGCGTGAACCCGGGAGGCGGAGCTTGCAGTGAGTCTAGATCGCGCCACTGCACTCCAGCCTGGGCGACAGAGCGAAACTCGGTCTCAAAAAAAAAAAAAAAAAAAAAAAAAAAAGAAAGTAGTGATTACAGGCCAGGCGCGGTGGCTCACGCCTGTAATTCCAGCACTTTGGGAGGCCGAGGCAGGTGGATCACGAGTCAGGATATCGAGACCATCCTGGCTAACATGGTGAAACCCTGTCTTTACTAAAAAAAAAAAAAAAAATACAAAAAATTAGCCGGGTGTGGTGGTGAGCGCCTGTAGTCCCAGCTACTTGGAAGGCTGAGGCAGGAGACTAGCGTGAACCCGGGAGGCGGAGCTTGCAGTGAGCCTAGATCACGCCATTGCACTTCAGCCTGGGCGACAGAGCGAAACGCTGTCTCAAAAAAAAAAAAAAAAAAAAAGAAAGTAGTAATAACATGAAAAAATAGTTTGTATAAGCTAATTAGTATATTTTGAGAAAGCCAGCTGGAAAAGGCCTCACGGTTGGGCAGTGTAATCCTAACCAAAGTACCAGGGTTCAGGAATTACAGAAATCAGAACTGCTGGTGTTCAGTAATTGCTGACAAGTGTCTCCACTTCAGGAGGAGGACAACCCAGATTCCATAGAGTTGGCTTTGCAAACATAAACTTCTTGATTTATCTACAGGTATGTCAGGCTGAGAGAAAATGGGGTAAAGAAAGTAGGGGCCATTCAAAGAACCCATCTCAGGAAAATAACCTGTGCAGCTGCCTCGGTGAAGCCACAAAGTGCCTTTGAGGCTGTGGAAATGGCATCTCCAAACTCTGGCAGGTTTCCGTTCTTGGCATTTTGGGAGATGCCAGTCATGGCCTCGCCCAGCACCTGAGGAACAGAGGACATCAGGGGAGTCAGAGCATGTCCTCAGAACCCCAGGGCAGCATCTGGTTAGCTCCATCCTACTGCCCTCTCTCCTCCGAGTTCCTGGCTGTGCTGACCTTTGAGTTCTCCATTACACTGTCCAGGCAACCAAAGTAGGACATGTCATTGATGGGCTGGACTGGGTTCTCCAGGAGTTCCCGGACCGTCTGTGTAGGGGGAGGGCAAAGTGAGATCCAAGACACCTCCCTCAGGCCCAAAACCAGAACACTTCCCTCAACCTCAATGCCATCAGCCTGCCATGTGTCTACCTCCAATTCCCGCAGGGCGTTATCACACTCCTTCTGGCCGGGTGCCTGCTGGGTGCACATAGTGATGAGCTGATTGATGCTGTCAGTTACTGCCCTGGGAGTGACAGAAAGTTGAGTGAAAAGGTGAATAGGTCATCATTCCTGGGTCCTATGTAAGTATTTATCTTTTGCCTATAACCATTCCTAAGCCAAGAAGCTCTCATGAACTGCCTGCTCCCCAGTCTCTCTCACACAGTCCAGGGCTGGGCTTCTCAGCAACTACTTACCTGGCAGCTGCAGCCAGCTGACTCTTGAGGTTAGGGGCAGCAGGGTCCGTGGACAGGGCCTTGGCAGCCAGAAGAAGTTTGCTTGAAGACATGGAGATGCCCTTCAAGTTGGACACAACTTGGGCTCGGTCCTCCTGGCTCTGTTGAAGGTGACAAGGTCAATGCATTGTCCTGTCCTTTCTTATCTGTCTCTAAAAGGGATCTTCTTTCCCAGACACTCAAGTAGTGCTAGAGACTGGGGAGGGAAGGGAGCCAGGAGCAAGTCAGGACTGGTCACTCAACTGCCTCCTATCTAACCCTTAGTGGGAACCATTCAACCAGACCCTCTGCCTCTTCATACCGGAGCCTGGCCTGCCATCTCCACACCAGCTTCCAGGAAGGTGCTGAAGTCCTGTCCAAATCGGCCTGAGGCTCGAGCCAGGTCCTGAGGGGTTCCCCGAGAGGCCTGCACCAGTTCTGTGGCTGCCTGATTCAGCCCAGCAGCAGCTTCATTCAACCGGCTCTGAGCTTCTTGAAATGTCCCAGTGCTAGGAGGAAGCTGCAAGGTGAGAGGGGAAGTCAGACAGAAGAGTGGGGAATGATGCAGGGAGAAGTCTGGTAAAGGAGGGCTGAAAAGGTGGGCACATAGCCTGGGAGTAATGAAAGGGGACAGATCTGGGAAGTCAGGGTCAAAGGACAACCGAGAGGGAGGAAGGAGAGGCCTGGCATTCTTTGACTCCTACGTTCCCCCACCCCCTACCGTCCTCCTACCGAGTCACTCAGGAGTCGCTTGCTGGCATCTCCAACTGCCCTCAGGGCATTATCCACATCGCGCTGGCCAGGTAGGCAGCTGACACAGCGGTTCAGAGCCTGGGTCACTGCTTTAGCCACCTGGGGTGAGAAAGGAGACAGGGTTGCCCAAGTGAAAAGAATTTGAGAGATCGCCTCCATTCACGCGACATGGGAGATGACTAGCTCTACTGCCTCTGAAAGTGAAAAAAGAAAGGGGGCGTTGTAGGTGAACAGGCTGAGGTTAGGGTTTCAAGTGACAGTAATTAAACTTCCCCAAACTTGGTGTTTAGCTCAGCCCATGACTGAATCCAACTGAGACACTTCTACAAGACCAAGAGGGCCGGGCACAGTGGCTCACGCCTGTAATCCCAGCACTATGGGAGGCCGAGGGGGGCAGATCACGAGGTCAAGAGATCGAGACCATCCTGGCCAACATGGTGAAGCCCTGTCTCTACTAAAACAAAATTCAAAAATTAGCTGGGTGTGGTGGCGCATGCCTGTAGTCCCAGCTACTAGGGAGTCTGAGGCAGGAGAATCACTTGAACCCAGGAGGCGGAGACTGCACTGAGCCGAAATTGCGCCATTGCACTCCAGCCTGGGCAGTAAGAGCAAAACTCTGTCTCAAAAAAAAAAAAAAAAAAAAGACTAAGAGAACATAAGGGTGGAATCCACAGAGGGGCTGTCAAGAGCAGACCCAAGAAGACATCACTCTGTGAGTGTGGACGAGGCTCAGAAGCTTTGGCCTCAATCAGGGTGGGCCTTATGAAGGAACCTGGGGGAGAGGGAGTGGCCCTTTCCCAGTATCTGACCTGGGCAAGCCGCTGCTGGCTCTCAGGGTCCCCTGGATGGCCAGCTGCCTTTTTCGCCTCCTCAATGAGGCTGCTGGCCTTGTCCAGCACATCACTGGCCGTATCAAGTACAATGGCCTGCACTGCAGGATCTGACGTCAGTGCAGCGACTCCCCTAGCGGCCTGGGCCAGTGACCGCAGCCCACCTGCCACATCCCGAGCTGCAATACCTTGGGAGATGAGGAGAAAGAGGGAAGGGAAGGTGCTTTCATTGCCAGGCCCTGATTCCAGTGGTTTCGTCTGTCAGTCCCATCCCTCATCCAGCTCCCATTTTCCTACCTCCCTCACAATATGCCCCATGCCTGGCTCTCTGCCCACATACCTGCATAATTCTCATTGCCCTGGGCAACCTCTCCCAGTAGCTGGGCGATGGCTGAGCTCACGGCTTTGGTGCTGTTGCCCAGGTCCTGGGTACACTTCTCCATCTAAGGATGAAGGGGGAAGAATTGGGCTTGAGAAAGGAGAAGGTGAGGAGAAGGAACCTGAGAAGGTACTTGGGGACAGGTGGCAATTTAAATAAATGTTTTGGGCTGGGTGCGATGGCTCCCACCTATAATCCTAGCACGTTGGGAGGCTGAGGCAGGTGGATCACCTGAGGTCAGGAGTTCAAGACCAGCCTGGGCAACATGGCGAAACCCCATCTCTACTAAAAATACAAAAATTAGCCAGGCGTGGTGGTGCATGCCTGTAATCCCAGCTACTCAGGAGGCTGAGGCAGGAGAATGGCTTGAACCCAGGAGGCAGAGGTTGCAGTGAGCTGAGATTGCACAACTGCACTACAGTTTAGGTGACAGAGCGAGACTCCATCAAGAAAGAAAAAGAAATAAAAGAACGGAAAAGAAAAGAAAAGAGAAAAGAAAAGAAAGAGGAGAGGAAAGGAAGAAAAGAAAGGAAGGAAGAAAGAAGGAAGGAGAGAGAAAGAGAAAGAAAAAAGGAAGGAAGAAGAAAGAAAAGAAAAATAAAAGAGAGAAAGAGAAAAAAGAAAAAGGAAGGAAGGAAAGGTTTTGAGCAGCTCTGGGGCACGGAGGTGAAGGAAGACTTTAGGATTTGAGTAAGAATGAGGTCTTAAACATACTTACTGTCTCCCCAGGTAAGGGTTTAAGCTTGCCATCTCGAGCTGCTGCCTTCACTTCCTGTAGATCTTTCTCTAGATTCTGTACCACACTCAGTGCAGAATCCATCTCCAAAGGTCCACATGCTTCCTGAGCCTATGATAAGAAAGGGGTTTTGGGTGTAGAAGGTCCTGCTGTGTCTCACCAATGCCTCTGATTACACAATTATCTGCGTATTGGGTTATTCTGCACAGATTTCCTCTCATCACAGGACTCCAGCCTCATCTTCCAAAGCCAGAACCAGCTTCCATACCTTCTGGGCAGCCGTCCGGAGTTCAGCCAGCGCGGTGCCCAGGTTCTTGGCACACTGACTCAGCTGCATGGCTGAAGCCTGGTCCTGAATCGTTGGCACTGAGGCCTTTGCAGCTGCCACCATCTTCCCACCTGGCTGTTGGGGAATAGGCAGGTGGATGAAGTGTGCCATCCTCCCTCTGGGCTTGGGTACAAGGACTGATGATGGTCAGGATGTAGGGAACACTGGGGCTTGGTATTGGGAAAGAGGCTCTTGGCAGAGATTCAAACTGTGGGAGATGGAAGCTTAGAAAGGTGGGAAGGTCAGGTCAGAGAAGTGCAGAGGGGGTGCCTTGCCTGCAGGAAGCTCTGGCTGGCAGCAATGAGGGCAAGCTGAGCGCTGGGGCTGTCAGGCTGGGCTTGGCTTCCTCGGACGCCCTGCACCAGCAGTGGAATCTGCTCTGCCACTGCCTGTAGGTGAAAATGTCATAAGAGACCCACAAGTCTCCCTCTTCCACTCCCACATCCTTCCTAGAGTCTTACCTTGCAGCTCTGCACCAGCAGGGGCTGGGGGCCGGCAGAGGCCTTGGGGGTAGAGGCTGCGTGCTGAGCTGCAGCGATGGTCTGTGTGGCTGAGGCTGCAGCCTGCTTGGCTGCATGCTGTGAAGACAAGAGTAGTCAGACCAAGCCCATGGATTCCCATGCCCAGCCCAGTCCCTGGCCTACCTTGCCCAGGTTATGCCTCAAGGACGTATTAACTTACTCTCCGCACCTCCCTTTCAGTTCATTCCTCCCACAGCACCCACACTCTCTCTTGCTCCTGGTGAAACTCCCAGCCTCACCTCCAGGCGCTGCACCAGCTTTTTCTTGATGGCATTCTGCGCAGCTGCATTGGTGGCCATGCGCAGCCCCTCAGCTGCCTCCCGCAGCCGCTGCTGCTGCTCCTCACTGTCAGGGTGGGCAGCTGCTCCCTGAGGGAGAGGTGGAAAGACAGTCATCACCCAGCTCTCCTGTGGATCCTAAAGAAGCTCCTCTCTCACTCCTCTAGACTCAGTTTAAAATTCATGTATTTTCCTGAAGTCATCTCTAACTAGCCCCACCAAAAGGCAATCACCTTTGAGAGGAGCTGACTCATGAAGGTCAATGGGAAACCTCAGGGGGCTAGGATTCCCACTGGATGCTGAAATCCTTTCTTAAGGTGGAATTGTTTTGTCTTCCCCTCCTTGGGGAATACCACACGAGTGAGGTGAGTAGGGCTTCCTGGACAAAGGAGGACTCAGTTTAGAGCAGGCATCTCAGGAATACCAAAGCAGGGGACCTGCTTACTCCTGCCAACTGAAAAGCCCCAGAGTCCAGGGGGCCTAGGAATCATCTGGGCTTCTTTCTGATGGTTCTCTGCATGCTGGTGTCTCAGTGTCCTGCTGGCAGCAGAGGCCCCAGAGACTGAATGCCTATGTGTATTCACAGGGGAGACCAGGAAGGAAAGGAATCCCAGGCAGGGTAGCAGCAAAGAAGGTAAAAATAGGCCTTGGACTTAAGACCTTGGACTTAAAGAAAAAGGATCTGGTTGCCTACTACAGAGGAATGGGAGAGATTTATTAAAGGACACAAAATTATAGCTAGATAGGAGTAAGTTCTAGCGTTCTACACCACTGTAGGATGACTAAAGTTAAGACTATTATATAGTTCCAAATAGCTAGGGGGAGGATACTGAATGTTCCCAACACAAAGAAATGATAAATATTTGGATAAATGATGGATATGTTAATTACTCTGATCTGATTACTATACATGTATTGAAATGTCACTATGTACCTCATGAATATGTAAAATTATGTCAATTAAAAAATAATTTTAGGCCAGGTGTGGTGGCTCATGCCTGCAATCCTAACACTTCGGGAGGCCAAGGTGGGAGGATCACTTGAGTCCAAGAGTTTGAGACCAGCCTGGGCAACACAGTGAGACCACATCTTTAAAAAAAAAAAAAAAAAAAAAGCCTGGGTCATGGCTCACCCACAGCCTTGGGGCTCATTCATTTCCTGAGTGCTCCTATATTTGTCCTCTTGTGTTTTCTGCTTTTCCTGGGTCTCCCTCATCAGATGAGGGTGACCATCTGGACTGCTCTACTTCCCTCTAGGGTCCAGTCTGGGAGTGTGCACAGAAGGCTTTGTACCTTGGCAGCCTCTACCATCTTGGCTGTGGCATCAGCTAGGATCTTGGCAGCACTTAAGAGCTTGCGGGAGTTCTCCAGATCACTTTCCCCCTCAGCATCAGCCTTGATGGCATTGACCAGGTCAGATGTGGCTTGGGCCAGGATGCGGGCCTGTCGCACCATCTCCCCTGAGAGCATAGGGCACAGTCAGGCGAGGAAGCCAGAGACACTGAGGTGTCAGGGGTGGGGACAAAGGTGGGGAAAAGTGGTGTAGACAAGGTAGATGGGGGCTTTAGGGACAGAAAAAGAGACTGGCAAAAGCTCTTGCATCATTTCTTTGGGGCTATTTTTTTTCTGGGTTTAGGATCTTGGAGAAAAAGATTCTCCAGTGGGTTCTTACGGGAGAAGGACAGTCTCCAATGGGTATTTTCAGCCAGTAGCCTTGAGAAGATGAGACACTCTCTGAAAACTTTTGGGGTCAGGGGTATAGTAGGGAAGGCTATACCACTTTCATGTCACTTTCTATATATTTTTGTGCGTACTTTGGTATATTCTTTAAATGCTCCAGGGAAGGTAGAGGACTTAATATTCCTTTTACAGAAGGGGAAGCAGAGGGTTCAGAGAGCTTTAATGATGAGCCTATGGTTGTGTGGCTGGCAAGCCCACACTGTGCTGAGTTCCTTGGGGTGAAGTGGTTAGGTCCGCAAGGGGATGATGTCCAGTGGGCTTAGGGAACCCTGGTAGGGTTTTTTGTTTTCCTGGGGGTGCGTGTCTTACCAGCATCACCCATGGAGCTAAAGATGTTCTCAGTGACGGTTAGGATGGTGTCAGTAGCCTGGTCATAACGGCCAGCAGGCCCAGCCCCTGTGGCATGGGCTTTCACATGCTGCAGCAGCTCATTTAGGGCCTGGGTGACAGCTGTGGCTGCTGCTCCTACCCCTCGCAACAGTTGCCCATCCTCTGTAGCTGCCTGGGAGGCAGACACACAGCCCTCCACGGCTTTGGCTACCAGTCGTCCAGCCTCCACCAGTTGCTCTTGGCAGACAGGTGAGCTGATTGTAGGTGCCACCACCTGTAGGTAAAGTGAATGTCAGAGACGTAGGCAAGGGAAAGGAGGTAGAGTATGCTGCTCATAGCAGTAACTGGGATGGGTGAGGAGGCCTCCAGAGCCAAAGAAATAAAATGAAAGGCTCACGTGTGTGTGGTAGTATTACCCCTCAGCACGGACTAGAGCAACCTTTGGGGCTCACCTTAGTACAGGCCACTAGTTGGGAAGTGGATAGGGCACACTGTGTTGCTGCAGCAATAACTTGGGTCTGAAGTCCCGAGTCCTCTGTCCGCTGGGCCACACTCTTGGCCTTGAGGACCAGGGCAGCTGCAGCACTTGCCACAGCTTTGGCGAGCTGCATTAGCGCATCCTGTGAGAAAACAGCAGTTAGCATGACCTGAGATTGGGCTTGGGATTCACAGACACTTCTCAGAGGCGTAAGCTGCTTCATTATTCCCACTGATCCAATCAAAGGAGAGTGTACGCAGAAGCAACCAGAACCTACCCCGAGCTACTGCCCTGAGCACCCAGCAGGACAGAACCCCCACCGAGGAACAAACCCACACCAAGAGAAAATACAGCCTACACCAAATGGAGACACACATGAGGCGGATACACTCGATGATGACGGGGAGACAATGTGGTGGCGCTGTTACAATGGGGTGGGGAGAGGAGGTAGGAGGTATCTCCTGGGATCCCTCCACCCCCAGCTTCTTTACTCCACTTCTTGATCTTGGATTGGAAGTGGTCATCCTGGAGTCTTGGGAGCAAGTCCCTGTACTACCCTACCTGATCCCATTTCCCAAAGCCTGGCTTCGCCAGGCCTCCTCATCTCCCACCAAGTTCTGGTCCCCCAGGAGGCTGAGGAAGAAGTACAGAAACGAGTGTATGCGGCTCAGAGAGGACAAAGCTGGGAAGGCCCAGGCCAGAGGCTGTTACCGTAGGGGAATCGGGGGGAGATCGAACCCCAGCCCCTCTGGATGCACATATCTGCATGGGAAATCCAGGGTGAAAAGTCAGCTGAGGAAATTGGCATGGAGCGGGAAGGGGGAGAGCTAGAGGAACACTATTCTCAGGGTGGCATGGTCTATAGCATTGTGGGGGGTCCTCAAATTGGGGCAAGGGCTATGTACGGGGAAGAGAGAGAAAAGATGACAAGGGGCTAAAGAATAAATGAGGGCCAAGAGTAAACTAGCAGGTTAAGTTTGGATTCAGGGGTTCTGAATTCTAACCCCTAAAAGAGAGATCAGAAGTTACTAGTATCATCCCCTGGAAATAGAGGTTCAGATTGGTTTTTAGGGGTCAATTCACAGAAGCCAGGACTAGGAACTGGATTCACGAGCAGAAGTTACTTCCTAGATTCTGGGGTTCTGGGGGGTTGGGTAAGTCACCAACCTGGAAGTGGGGGTCAGTATCACTTTCCCCAATTTGTTGCAACAGCTCCCCACTGGCCTGGCCCACGTTCCCAGCTGCTTGCAGCAGGTTCTGACGGGGCTGTGGAGAGTGAACACCAGTCAGAAGCTGCCCAATCCCTGCCCACATGCCTGTGCATATCACAGGCCCACGGGACCCAGGCTTCCATCCTGTGGCTTGGACTGCCCCTTCTCCTTGGGCTTGAACCCTGTCTCCACCCTAACCCAAACCTGTGGCCCCTGACCTCAGCACTGGCTGGTTGGGCACTGCGCAGCAGTTCTGACACTGCTCCCGCAAGGCCCTTTGCTGCCTGCAACAGGGGCCGACCACTGCCGCCTTCGTCCTCCAGCAAGGCAGCCAGCAGCTTCACCCCACGGGACATCTCCGTCAGGTTGGAGGAGATTGTGGTGACTGCACAGCCCACTGCGGTATAGTCTGTCTCAGCAGGGTCCCCTAAGGGGAAAAGGAGAAAGAGGAACATGAGAGACAGGGCAGGCCAGACGAAGGGCTGGGGAGGGAGCAAAGTCACACCCAGTTAGTCACACACATGTCCACAGAAAGACGCACACACACAGTCCCTTCCACAGTGAGTCAAGGCACAGTCACACATGAAGCCAGTCACATGCATGCCTGTGCACACTTGCACCCCCTCTCCCCATCACACACCCGGAAGCTAGCATCCGGCCTACCTGCTGTCAGGTTCACCACAGACGCAGTACCAGCTGTGATGGCATCTACCTGAGAGTGGATCTCATGCTTTGATTCATCCATCTTGTTTTTACGCCAGGCCTTAGAGGCCTGAAAGAGAGAGGAAAAGCCTTCAGGATCTGCCCTGGTTTGGTTCACCTCATCCCTATCCCTTGGAGTCTCAGCTTCAGTACCACCGGCCTCTCCTCCATCCCATACTTACAGCATCCTGGCCAAGAGGCGGCAGAGTGTCAAAGTCATCCAGGGTGGCCTGGGCAGCCTGCACGGCCTGCATGCTGGAGTTAATGGTTCCAGTGAGTGCCTGCTGGGCTGAAGTCTAAAGACAAGTGGGGAGAAACAGGGACTGGAATGGATGTTTGGAGAAAAGAGAAGGTAAAAGAGAACCAGGGTCTAGGGAGAGAATACAAATAGGGACCTGGGAAAAGACTGCCTAACTCCTGGCTCGGCCCAGCTGAGGGTGAGAGAAGGGCCCTGGCACCGTGGTGGAAGTGGGACACTTACCAGAGGAGGCATGTGTCCTCGGTGCATCTGGCCGCTGGTAATCTGCTGCTGGGCAGGGGGCATGCTGCCCACCTGGAAATTCTCAGGACCAGAGGCTCCAGAGCGCATGATGGCAGGCAGGGCCACAGAGCCATGCTCCACTTTCCCCACCCGGTTGTATTGCTGCTGCAGGACTGTTGACCTGTAGAGGGGTGAACTATTGAGCTCACAGAGGACTCCTCATCTCTACCCGTCCCACCCGGTTACACTACCTTTGCAGGTGTGTGAGGTCTCACTACAGCCTGCAACTAGTTAAAGAACCATTCTAAGGACTCCCCACCTCCCAAGAGTCCTTAGAGTCAGGCCTTGCCTTCTCTACCCCTGGGAAATGGGATCAGCCCAACTCCCTTCGTACTTTTTGGGGGACACTGAGTCCTCCAGCATAGTAGACTCCTCATCTCCTTCCAGCCCAAAGTGATCCTTGCTTTTTTTCTGTAGGAAGGAAAAAGGAACAAGAGTTGGGATAGTTAAAGAAGAGGGAAGTGGAGAAAAGGCAGCCTCTTCTTTCCATAACCAGCCATTTTCCAGAAGCTGAGTGTCCATTTCTTTTTCTTTTTTTTTTTTTTTTGACAAGAAAGGGCTCTGTCACCCAGGCTGGAGTGCAGAGGCAAGATCTCGGCTCATTGCAACCTCCGCCTCCCAGGTTCAAGCAATCTGAGTGCCCATTTCTAAAGGACTGGCTTGTGGAGAGGGCAAGAGGCGATAAGGAGAAGGCTAGGGCAGGCAGTGCTCACCTTCTTCAGGATGATATCGATGTAGCCGGCAATGAGCTGTGCAATCTGCTCCCCTTCAGTTGTCTGTACTGAGTAATAGCCATCTTGGTAATCTCCAAAATCCTAGGGTGACAAGTGGGGGACTCAGAGGGAAAGCTCAAATCTATCCAGGATGGAAATGGCTAGGATGGGAGGCCCAAGGTTGAGCTGATGAGATGCCTTCCCGTGGCAACGGCCCTCTTGGAAGATGCCCACCTTTCTTGAACCTCCTCTTTATTTTCTCCTTGGAGGGAAATTTTTTACTTCTGAGGAGTGGCCTCTACACTACACAGTTTCAAATACATATCATTTAGGAAGTCTCTTATTTTTACTCTGATGATAAAATTGAGAGGATATAATATTTGGCATAAAATGGCCACACTTTAAGGTTGGCTGTAGTATCCAAAAGGGAAAAAACAGCATTTCCTATAATTTGTATTTGTGTCATTAGGGTACTTTATCAAGTTGATATCAGTTTTCAATTCATAACCCTATAATATAAAGTCAAAAATTCACTGTATATAGCTGCTGCTGAAACAGGGAGGTTATCACATTTTTCCTTTCACCACACCTACAAGAATTCCTGTGATCTCAGCTTGCTGATGAGATTTTTGTTCTGCTGATTTTAAAGAATAAGTCCATCATCCGTTTCATTTAAGCCTCACACTCTCCCAGAGGAAGATTCTCCATCTACTCTAACCTCCTTTTTTTCTGGAGTAATACTCAGTATACTTACCCCAAGAGAGGGAAGAGACCTCTGCAGCTGCCCCTTTAATGAAACTCCCAAAGCACTTTCTTGTTATAGTCCCCAGACTTACCAGGGTGAAGCTTTTGGGAGACGCAGCCCAGCGTTTGATGTTGGTGAGGTTCCACTCCTGGATCACTTCCTTGGTCTTCTCATCCACTCGCATCACACACTCCTTGGTGATGCCCAGAAGCCTGGGCACTAGCTTGTTCTTCCCTTTCATTTTTTCCTATGAGGCAGAGGTTGGTGTTGGTGTTACAGGTCAGAGGTCAAATGAGAGGTGAATGATCAGATCAGCTTGCAGCCATAGGGGATGTTGAGGTGGCCGGGAGGGCTAACGGACAAGGGAAAATGCAGGGTAGGGAGGGAAGTGGTGGTGTAGGGCTGATGACAGGCAGGTTTTCATGAGGTCAGAGCAAGGAAGAGAATGGGAATCTTAGGGAATGGTGGGAGATGTGACTGAGGGCAAGGCCAGAGACTTTCAGAGACAGAAAAGGGCAAGAGTGGGAAACAAGGAGGGCAGTGAAAAGGGCCCATAACCTACCTTCACCAGGAAGAAGGAGACACCGTAAGTCTTGAGAGAACGGGCTAGCTTCACGTAGCGGACCTTGGCCTCAATCTCACTCATCTGCCCACAATTCTTGTGTGCCTGTGCATAAAATGGGGAAGAATTTAGCAAAGAGTTTCATATCACAGCTAAGGAATTAAGGTTGGATGCTAACTCTAACGAGAGAGAATTATGGGGACACTGGAAAGGTTGAGGAGTACAAGATATGAGAACGAGAGGGTAACGGGATGGAGGCTGATAAGGGCTATGCAGAAGCGATGAGTCAAGGGATACAGTCAAGGAACTTGCAGACATTCTGGAGATATGAACAGAGAGTTTGGAAGTAGAAGGGCAAAGAGAAGGCCTTCTGGGCTGAGTATTCAGAGTGGGGGTAACACCTTATAGTGGACAAAGACTATACTCTTTCACAGTAATTTCAGATTATGCTACCTCATTTGATCCTATCAGTCCTACACGGGGCAAGTACTGTTATCCCAAATCAGAGGTAAATAAAAGATTACAAGAATATTGAACTGAATTGCACAGCAAAAGCAGGGATGGAGCTGAGACTAAAAGCCCAAGCTGTCTGCTTTCTTGGCAGAGGTGAGGTGGGATAACAGCCCGGTGGGTGAAAGCCAAGTTAGGGGAGACGGGGAGGAGGCAGGGGGCCATTTAGTCAGTAAGATTAAGCAGCAAAGCTCCGCGGTCATCCCAAATACTTTCCCCTACCCACATTCACCTGGAAGATCTTACGCTCTCCCTTCTGCTTCACATACTCCTTGGGCAGGAAGTCCTTCAGGCTACACCAGAAAAGGGAGGGTCAGCATGTGGTAGACAGCATCAGGGGACATGTGGGCCATGAACTGTGGGCCTGGGGGTATGAGGAAATACCTAGGACAGTGTTATCTTTGGGGAGAAAAAAGACTCTGAGGGAATAGAGTCTAGATTATCTTCTGAAATAGAGGTGACTTCGTGTAAACTCTTCTTTTTTTTTTTTGAGATGGAGTTTCACTCTTGTTGCCCAGGCTGGAGTGCAATGGCACGATCTCAGCTCACCAAAACCTCCACCTCCCAGGTTCAAGTGATTCTCCTGCCTCAGCCTCCCGAGTAGCTGGGATTACAGGCATGTGCCACCACGCCTGGCTAATTTTGTATTTTTAGTAGAGATACATGGTTTCTCCACGTTGGTCAGGCTGGTCTCGAACTCCCGACCTCAGGTGATCTGCCCGCCCTGGCCTCCCAAAGTGCTGGGATTACAGGTGTGAGCCACCGAGCCTGGCCAGTATGAATTCTTAATGTGACCTGTGTCTCTCCCTGTAGGGAAAGGGACTGAGGAAAATTAAGTTAGAGGCTCAGTCCCTGAGGGAAAGTGGGTCTAGAGCACCATTTCAGGGAACCAAGAGGAGAAAGAGCTTTCTAGAAGGATGAACATGCACTTAGGAAGCTGAGAAAGCCACGCCAAACTCTGCATTCCAAGAAACACCAGCAGATGAGGCTTGTGAGACTTTTAACCCATGTTCCCTATAGGGAAAATTTTACCCGGTTTCCCTCTGGCTACTGCAGCAAAATTCTTCAGATAATCTCAAAAAAGAGTGACATGCTTGCTTCAGAGATGGGGGTAGGGGCAGAGATACTGAACTACATTCATATTCCAGAGGCAGAGAAGAGACAATGGATGATGGCAACTAAAAGGGTAGCTATGTTGGTCAAACCCTGGTACCTCGGAAGAAGAAATAGTGGGGGGCAGGCTTGGAATGGAGACAGGCCCACTGGGGTCACAATGGCAGGGAGTCCTGGGCCCTGACAGGGTATAGGATGTGGGTCACTCACTCAAGGAAGCCAGCCTTGTGCTTCTGCTCATTGTGGGGCCCAAACTGGATCTGGCATTGGAAGCCAGCAAACTCACAGGCCTTGTCAAAGGAGACAGGGTGGGAGCCATTCAGGATGTCATCTCGTGCCTGGAGAGCACAGGGCAAGGAGGCGAATGTTGTGTGTGGGTGCAAGGACACGCACACTGTGCTTCCGAGCCCTCCCTATTCCTGCCCCACCCCAGCCAAGTCCTCTGCATACCTGCACATACAGGAGGTTCAGCTGTACAGGGTCCCGGGAATCCACATTCTGGTCTGAGTAAAAGAACTTCCTCCGCAGCAGCAGCGTCTCGTGCTCCTCTACACCCTGCTCCCTCAGTGTCCGACCATGGTCCAGCCAGTTCACTGGGATACAGACAGTCCCCTCAGTGCCAAACCCCCATGGCCCCTGTGCTGTCTGGTCTCTGTTTATTTCTGCATTTCCTACCTCCCCTCACTTAAATGTAAGTCCCATGAGTGTAGGACTTTGTTTTCTCACTGATGTATCCCCAGGGTGTAAAACAGTGCCTGGCAGAAGCAGATGCTGAAGCCCCTTCCCACCCTTCCCATTTCAAAAGCCCTCTTTTTTCTAGTTCTGCTTACACTCATCATCTGTGTGCAATTTCTGCTTTAGTTTCTCCATCTTCTTTTCATCTCGCAGCAATGTCTTGTCCTTTCTTAAGGTCCCTGTTATTTCCTCCTTTTTCTCTTCCATCAGCTCTCGAACCAATGAATATTCATCATGATTGGTGATGCCTGAGGAAGGAGATGGCTTGTTAGCTTCCCAGGTACTGCATCCATGCCTTTTGAGAGAGTTGAGGCTTTCTGGCCCAGGCTTTCAACTGTACTAGGGCCCCTTACCAATGCGGGCACAGATGGTCATGAGCATGTCAGTGACAGTCTTAGAGTCATCCACCATGATCGTCTTCACAGTTCCATCCAGCATACGGATCTTCAGGGGTCTCTGTTTCTTCCTGTACTCCATAGTGTCCTGTTAGGGCAGGAAGAAGAGACAGGGGCCTACTCTGAGCTAGGGGTATTATTTCCTCTTTACACAGCCCGAGGGGAGAGAGTGGAGCACTGAAAGGAAGACTATGGTGGTTCGTTCAAAAGCAGGGAATTATGACTGTCTGTTAATAGGAAGAAAGCATGGGGAGGGCTAAGAGACAACAGATGTGGGTGCTGAAAACAGGAGGTGGAACAGGGAGAAGCTGATGGAAGGGGATGTGGTGGTCCTTGATGAAAGGATACTTACCCCATTTCGGAGCATGTAGTAGTCCAAAGCTTTCCCAGCCTCCAGCCATATACCCTTTTTGGGGTCATCATCTGACAGAAAGAGCCCAAAGTCGCTGGCTAAAAGAGAGGATGGATCACTTTAGGCTTATGAAGACCCCAATGTGGCTGAACAGCTTGTACCATGTTGCCCCTGACTATTTCTCCCATGACCTTGGGCCTAAAGAACGAGGGAACCATGGAACACAGACCTGAGGGGTGAGTAGTCTTAGGGGACAAAGGGGTCAACTCTCAAGGCCGAGAGCCTGGGAACAAGAAGGGACTGAAGACTCCCACTCCAGCCACCGGGGGAGTCAGACTCACGAGGACCAGCTGGGGCCTCTGGGATCCGCTCACGAATGATGCGGCAGGCGTCGTACACCATGGTAGACGGCTCAAACTGCATCGTCTTCACCACATTCCCAATGCTGATCTTCAGTGAAAGTGCAACCATGGTGGCAGCTTCTTTTCTCCAGCCTGGCTATACCTGACCCATGGCATCAGGGCATTAGAATACACTCTTCTGGTGGGAGAAGAGGCCCCCCAGATGGTGGAGTCCAAGGGAAGAGTGTTTTTGAAAGGGACTCACCAAAGTAGATGGTAATAAGGTTGTTTTCATTGTATTTAATAATTTTAAAGAGTGAAAAATTATTTACATCAAAAGAATGAGTCCTGACAATTTTTTTTTTTGAGACAGAGTTTCGTTCTGTTGCCCAGGCTAGAGTACAGTGGTGCGATCTCAGCTCGCTGCAAGCTCCGCCTCCTGGATTCACGCCATTCTCCTGTCTCAGCCTCCCCAGTAGCTGGGACTACAGGCGCCCGCTGCCATGCCTGGCTAATTTTTTGTATTTTTAGTAGAGACGGGGTTTCACCATGTTAGCCAGGATGGTCTCGATCTCCTGACCTCGTGATCCACCTTGGCCTCCCCAAGTGCTGGGATTACAGGCGTGAGCCACCACGCCCGGCCAAGTCCTAACAATTTAAGACATCTGAGGGAAAGGAGAAGCTGGTCTGCAAGGTACAATAGCAGGTCTGAAATGCAGTGCTACCTGAGGACACTGCCCTGCCCCACCACTGGAATTTGTACCTCCCTACTTTCATCCAAGTATCTCTCTTGCCCCTTGTCCCTGATCACCTTTCTCAGCCCTACTCCTGCCTTCTTTTCATTTTTGCCTGGTTCAGTATTTTTCTCTCTTTGTCTCCTGCTGTGTCCTGCTGGCTCTTCCCTGTCCGGGATTTTCAGAGCTCTCTTCTCACCACGTGACCTTCCTTCTCATGGCTTTAGCTGCCTTCTCTGCAAAATGAAGATGTTATAATTCCCTAAGGCTCTTGAAGCCTGCAAACAAACTCTAGCTAGCCTGGCAGGGAGACCAAATACTGGTTGCTCAAGCCATTCAGGGGTCCGCTCTTGCCCCAGCTTTTTTCTAACCTGAGATGCGGGGGCCTTCTGAAGGAGCCTAGCCCTGTACTGGGCTTCCCAGGCAGTCAAGCTAGAAATGTGATTCTCTAACTCAAAGGGATCTATCTCAGAAGTTATCTGGTCAACTCTTGTGTTTTGGAGAAGGGGAAATAGACTCTGGGAGGCCAGGAAACATTTTCAAGACAGGCCAGAGAAAGGACCCAGTCCCTGTAACTCAGTCCTTGCTTGTTCCAAGTCATCAAGTTAATACTCAGTCCTGCAACTCCTCCCATGCTTTCTCCTCTTCAGCAAGTCTGTCTCGAATTCTGCTCTGTCTCACCCACTTCCCCTGACTGTATTTTCAGTGCAGCTCAGAATACTAGTCCTACCCCACCTTCTTCCACCCTCCTGGCACCCCCTCTCAGCAGGCTAGAGGAGGCACTGGAGGCAGCAGGTGGCGCACAGGCTGCAAGAGGACAAGTCTGCCCGGCTGCTGCTGATGTGCCCCTGCTTGGTACAGGGATTGGGTGCCTCTTAACTAAGAGAATGGGCAAATACAAGCTGCCCATTCCCCTCCTGGCAAACTACAAGCCTCAAATGGGGAAAAGCAGGGTGAGAGGGGAAGGCTGGAAAGCAGAGATGGGGGTGTTAGGATACAGAAGGCATTTGAAAGCCAGGGAAGTTAAGAAGGGGTAGAGGGTAAAGAAGTTAGGAGAGATGGGATGAGGAGAATTGAAAATCTAAGTAGAAACAAGAGACAGGAGGCAGGTATGAAAATGGTCTAGATCAGCGGTCTGGTACCAAGTGGCAGATAGACCATTTCTGACCTTACAAGCAGTCCAGAGTCTCAAAAGAGAAGAACCACAGCTCTCTGTCTTTACTCCCCAATAAGAGAGGACCCTCCCAGTCTCCCCAGTTCCAGCTCTCTGCCCCCTCCCCACTCCTGGGGCACTTTGCCCAACCTTATTACTATCCGCTTGTGTCCCAGCTGGACAGACCTGGCTATGGGGTTGCTGACCATGAAAGAATGAGGGCTGGGCTGGTGGATCCGAGAAGCTGGAGGAGTCTGTGGAGCCAAGAAGCAGGACTGAAAGGACCCTTCACACTAAGCTGAAACTGCATGTCTCCCCCCATTTCCTCTGGACACTTAGACACCCCCTTCCTCCTCAAGCACGGAAGCCTCTGGTGAGACCCCGATAAGGGAGCTGAGTCATGCCTACCCTTACTCCCCAGCTGGTCCAGAGTGGATATTCACACAGCTACAAGAGGGTGTGTGGACGCGAAGAACTGATCAGTGAATTGTGGGTGGTGGTGGCAAAGAACAAGGCTGCTACAAGTATGAGTAGAAGCTAGCTCATTCCTCCTTTGGCCTGAGAACTTTGCTCCCTTTTCCATTGTGTTTGATGGAACAGCAACTCCCCACTGCCGTGTCCCCCTCCCAGGGAACTCCTCCTCCCTCAATACATTCCTGCGATGCATTCCAAAGAAGTTGGGCAATTGGAGGGGGGGAATGGAGGACAGGAGGTCAAATCCCAGCAAGGAATGGAATGTAAGAGTATTGGAGCTAAGAAAGTTGGGGTACTTGGAGAATATAGTCAGAGCAGATACCCACAAGGGGAATTGCAGAAAGATAGGGAGTTACAGACAGGAACAAAAGGAAAGAGCTTAAGACAGTCAGAATATAAGAGGGATGGGGGAGTAACACTCAGTCTGTTACCAAATTTGGCCTCTGAGTCCGCAACCGCTGGCAGTGGGGGAGGGCTGTGGGTGAGACTGACATATCCGGCCTCAGGCTGCTGGAGACTCATTTAGAGCTGGACTGGGCAGCTAGCTGAAGGGCTGCACAGAACTTCCCCCGGTACAGCCCCTCCATACTCAAATGCACACTCATTCTCCCCAGATGCACCCCAGCCTAGGCAGAGCTCTTTCCCACAAAGCTACCTTACTCTCTCTATACACACATTATCTCAATCACACAGCCCCCACACAGATCCCATCACGACTGCATTATCTTCTCCTAGGGAGCCCATCCTATGCACACAGCTTTTGCACAGATAACCTCCATAACAAGCACACCCGGCACCCAGTGTCTCTCCTCCCATTATGTAGACATTCTCCATTCACCCAGCAAGCATTCCTTGAGGGCCAGCTGTGGGGAAGACCCTGGGCCAAACTTTCAGTGGCTGGGGACCAAGATCAGTAAGACCTAGCCTTTGAGTTCAAAGGGCTCCCAGTCCACGAGATGAGTGAATAAGCCAAGTACAGAATCACAACGGAGGGCAGGATGTGGTAAGAGCCAAAAGGTGTGTGCTCAGAGAGATCCCTTTAGGTCAGGGAAGGGGAACCAAAAAGTCTCCATGATAAGTATCATTTGAAGCTAGAATTTTAAAAAATAGAGATAATAAAAAACAATAGTGATCTGCCATTTATTGACTATGTCACTTGCATTGTATACATAATTTCATTTAATCCTTACAGTAGGTGTCATTATTTCCATTTTTACAGATCAGAAAACAGACTCAAAGATGTTAAATACTTGTTCAAATACTTCTCCAAATAATAAGTTGTGAAGCCAGGATCCGAACCCAGGTTTCTGACTGCAAAGCCCAAGCTTTCTCCACTACGCCAGCCAGCTGGAGATGTGTCAGGGGTAGTTTTCACTCCAGGCAGAGAAATAGCATAAGCAAAGATGGAGAAGCAGTAAATCGTGGAGGAGCATTCAGGGAAGTGAGCAGGCAGGCTGTTGAAGCACAGGGGTACCTGCAAGGGAGCAGTGGTGGGGAAGTCAGGGTTAGGATGGAAAGGCAGAGGAAGACTGGAGAGGGGTATGAGGAATTTTACTTATTGGAGGACAAAAGGAAGCCAAGGGAGTCTTTGAGCAGAGAAGAGACATAACCGGAACTGGATTTTAGAAAAATAACTCTGGCAGTTACCTTGGAGATTAGTTAGAAGGACACTGTATTAGTACAAATTAAAGGTAATGAAGCCGGAGTTGGAATGGCATTGAGGAAGATGTCACTCAGAACAAGTTTGGGGAGGTAGAAATGACAGGACCTAATAACTACTAAGGTAGACAGGTTAGAGTCCCACAGCTTCCTATCATCAGCAGCCACTTTAGCGGCTGGGGCAGCTTGAGTTTAGGCGACGAATTGGGAAGAGGGGAAAGGATCAGGTTGGGCAGAGAATGTGAGGATGAGGCTGTGGTTACGGGATGTGGTTAGGCTGTGGGGAAAAAGGGTATGAGTATATGATTAGTAGCCACTAGGGGCAGATGGGGTTGGGTTAGTGACTGCATCAGGCTGGGAATGGGGAAGACAGGGTGTAGAAAAAGGATGAGAAGACAGGGTGTAGAAAAAGAATGCTGGTGATGATGGTGTTTGGAAAAATACATATACATAAGATACATATATGACCAGTCACTGCATCAGGTTGGGGGAAGGGGAATGATTACATGGATGGTGGCTAAGTCAGGGAATGATGGGGTGAGGTCAGAGGCCAGGTCAGGCTATAGGAGGTTGAGAAGAGCTGGGCCTGTGGTCAGTCACTAAATCAGACTGGGGTGGGGGTGGGAAAGTGAAGGGACATTGGCAATGTCTAAGTAAAGCTGGAGCTGGGATGGGGGATGGGGTACAGCCAGTGGCTGGGTCAGGCTGAGTAGAGGATAGTGCTGTGGTCAGTGGCAGGGTCAGGCTGGGAGTGAAGTGGGGGTGTGGTCAGTGGCCTGGCTGGGCGTGGGATCAGCAAGACCCAGTTTCCTCTTTGGGTCTCGTTTCCTCTTTTCTGTTGGGGAGTGGGGGAAGGGGATCTACAAATGGTCCAAGAAATTAAAAGAGGCTTAGATCCAGGGGGTGACACACAGCAGGGGATGGGAGTAGGGTATTCAGCAGATGACCAGGTGGAATGTAGGTACATGACTGGGTGAAAATGGTAGGAGAGTAATTTAAAATGATGGGAAAGCTCAGGTTTTGATGAGGGTAAATTCAGGTAGGATGTGCGGATTAAAGGTTGGTGAGGGAGGTAGAACTAAGGATGGGAACGGATGATAAGATGAGCATGGGAGAGTTAAAGGCAAGGGAAGTATTTTGTAAGGGGATAGGCAGGATGGGTGTGAAATGCAGAGTCAGGGATGAGAGTTGGAGAGGAGGGCTTAATACCAAGAGAACAAGTGAAGTGGGAGAAGCAGGGCTAAACTTTCAGGGGATTCAGTTATTCCCTTCTCCCATGGCAACAGTGATTCCTTGGTTAGCTTCCCCCATAGTCATCAGCTCCTTCTTCCCTAGGCAGTCCCCAACTTGTGACTAGGCCTTGTACATCCTGGGTCCCTATTTCCCACCTATGTTGTCTGTAAACAACACAGTCCAGAATCTCTGTCCCCTAACTGTGGTGGCCACAGCAAGGGCCTTGGGCTTAGAGAATGGAATAAAGAAGCTGGAATCCCAGATGCCTGCAATTCTAGCTAAAGCCAGAACGCTAGCCTGAAATTAGTTTATCTCTCTGGGTAAAAAGAAGCCCCTGTAACTACATAGGAATAAAGGATTTCCCTACAAAAGAAGGGCATTTACCTACTGCCAACCTCTTAAATTTTATCTGCTCAAGGTCAACTATGCTAGCCTCAAACCACAACCCCTAAAGCTGCCCCAAATTCCTAACATTAACCCCACCTCTAATTTGTTTCCTGATTCCCAGTACCGGCTTGGACATTCATCCCTTTCCTAGCACAGACTCATATCCAATCCCTGATCCCTGAAACTGATCTAAGTTTTGCCTTTAGCACCAAATCCCCTGATGTTAACCCTAAATGTTGACCCCTAAGCCTAAAGTTCATTTATAATTTGATTCCTAACTCACGCTTTCACTGTTTATCCTTAACACCGACCATGCCAACATTCTTTAATCCCTCAAACAAGCTCTAACCTGATTCCTGTTGTTTGTTGACCCTTAACCTGACCCTGAACTCAAATTATGACGTATGATGGCCATCCCAGCAAACAAGATAATGACCGTAATCTAAACCTTACCTATCTAAAACGGACCTGACTCACACTAACTCTTAAGTTTTAACCCCAGCTTTTAACTCCTATAGCGACCCTTGATTCCTAAACGGACCCCACCTAATCCCCAACTCACCCAAAGCTTTCCTACCCACATGCCCGCTATCAGCTAACACCAAAGCCCGTCCCCGCCCTGCGCCCCGCTGCCACCCGACTCCTCACGCTCCCCAAAGCCTATCCCAGACATAGGACTGCTCCCAGGAAAGGCCTGTCTTCCCCAAGACGGCCTACTTCACGCCGAGCTCAAGCCGAGATGCGCTGGACGCTGACCTCTCCAACTAATAGGACCCGAACCGGACACGCAAGAGAGGCAGGGCCCGCCCGCCCCGGGGCCAGGCCCCGCGGCCCCACCCTAAGGCCCCCGCCCGGCCCGGTCTGGCCTACCTGCGCTGCCTGGCTCTGCGCCCCGCCCGCCGGCCCGCCGCCCCGCCGCTTCTCGGGTCGCCCTCGGGCTCCGGCCTCGCCCTCCCTTCGACACTCTCTCGGCCACTTCCGTCCTGGGAACGTCCCCCACCCGCGGGCGGCGCCCTGGGCCCGCGCTCTATGGTCGCGGGGGGCAGGCAGGAAGCTGCTCTGGCCCCGTTCTCGATGCTCGGGAGCCGCCAAAGCCCGGCAGCCCCTCCCTGGCAGGAAGCGAGGGTGCGGCGCAATCCGGAGAGGACGCCAGGACGACGCCCGAGTTCCCTTTCAGGCTAGAACTCTTCCTTTTTCTAGCTTGGGGTAGAAGGCGGAGCCGGAGCCCCGGAACCCCCGCCCTCGGGGTGCGAGGCGGCAGCAGGGCCGTCCCCTACATTTGCATAGCCCCTGGGACGTGGCGCTGCACCCAAGCCTCTTCTCAGTTGGAGGGAACTCCAAGTCCCACAGTGCCACGGGGTGGGGTGCGTCACTTTCGCTGCGTTGGAGGCTGAGGAGAATTGAGCCTGGGAGGCGGGTCCGGAGAGGGCTATGGAAAGCCGCCGGCGGGGAATCCCGGCCGTAGAGGGACAGTGGATAGGTGCCCGAGGCCTACAGCTGGCCTGGGGCTCGTGTCTGGGCTTCGGACGTTGGGGCCCGGTGGCCCACCCTTTCCGTAGTTGTCCCAAATGGAGCTGGAATTGGATGCTGGTGACCAAGACCTGCTGGCCTTCCTGCTAGAGGAAAGTGGAGATTTGGGGACGGCACCCGATGAGGCCGTGAGGGCCCCACTGGACTGGGCGCTGCCGCTTTCTGAGGTAGGTTGGGGTTCTGACTGGGGAAAGCGTGGGATGTCCATGAAGTCAGGTGATGGTGATAAGGTCAAGGCCTGTTCATTGGAACCCTGCGCAGGTACCGAGCGACTGGGAAGTAGATGATTTGCTGTGCTCCCTGCTGAGTCCCCCAGCGTCGTTGAACATTCTCAGCTCCTCCAACCCCTGCCTTGTCCACCATGACCACACCTACTCCCTCCCACGGGAAACTGTCTCTATGGATCTAGGTGAGTCTGAAATAAGTTTGCGGGGAGGACAGGGTTCATGGGCCTGGCTATTCATACTTTCCCTTTTGCAGAGAGTGAGAGCTGTAGAAAAGAGGGGACCCAGATGACTCCACAGCATATGGAGGAGCTGGCAGAGCAGGTACTTGACTTGATTTTCAGGAGATTACTCTCACATTCCCCAGGTGGGGGCAGGATTCCCCATTCCTCTCTGACATCCCCATGCAACTGCCGTCCACTTTCTTGTTACCCTAGGAGATTGCTAGGCTAGTACTGACAGATGAGGAGAAGAGTCTATTGGAGAAGGAGGGGCTTATTCTGCCTGAGACACTTCCTCTCACTAAGGTAAGACTCTCATTGGTTGAACAAAGGCTGAAAAGGGATTAAAAGTCCCAAGTAGGCAAATTCTGTTAACTTTATATCAATAACTTTAAAAAAGGATTGAGGTGAGAAACTTAGTAGATTTATTGCTAATAGGAAGTTGAGGCAGGTACACAATATGCCAGATGCAAGGGCAGATCCTCGTTTTTGTTGGGCTTATACAAATTTTGGTGTTCTGTTAAAAAAATAACTCAAAATTATCAGTGCAACATTAGTATTGGGCCTTGGAAAGGACTGTGTAAGTGAAGGGCCTTGACACTTCGTTGGCTTCATAGTAATCCACCTCTTGCTGAATGGTAGAACTGTTTAGAGAGTTCAACAGGGTTGGACTAAGCAGTACATGAATAAATGTAAAATCCTTAGTTTTCAGTTTTAAGCAATGAGTGGCAACTTCACAAGCAGAGTACTGGGGTACTATGATGAAATCAGTGCTCATTAATAGAAAGGTTACAGGAATATATATATATTTTTTGACAAGGTCTTGCTCTGTTGCCCAGGCTGGAGTGCACTGATGTGATCATGGCTCACTGCAGCCTTGACTTTCTGGGCTTAGGTGATTCTCCCACCTCAGCCTCCCGAGTAGCTGAGACTACAGGTGCACACTACCCTGCCCGGCAATTTTTTTTTTGGTATTTTTAGTAGAAATGGGGTTTTGCCTTGTTGCCAGGCTGGTCTCGAACTCCTGGGCTCAAGTGATCTACCCACCTTGGCCTCCCAAAGTGAAGAATTTTAATTTCTTCAAAGTACAAGATGAGTCAGCAGTGTGATGTGGCTACTAAGAAAGTTCATGGGATTTGGAAACTGTAGCAATAGAGTTATTGTCTCTACAAGTCACTCTCTTGCTTTCCTTGATACTGGCTAGAGCACATCTTTGACAGATACTAAGAGGATGCAGTCTATCCTGAGAAGATGAGTTAAAAATTTTGTCTTTTTTTTTTTCTTTAAGCTCTGAGGAAATGTTAAGTGCCTTAAAATAGCTAAACAGGGTTTATTCTATTTGGCCCCAGAGATACTAGGTAAGTCCAACGGATAGAAATTATAAGGAGGCAGCTGTTGGTTCAGGATAAGGAAGTTTTTATTTGCTTGTTTGAAGACAGGTTCTTGCTTTATTGCCCAGGTTGGAGAATAGTGGCGAGATCATGGCTCACTACAGCTTCAACCTCTCAGGCTCAAGTGATCCTCCTTCCTCAGTCTCCTGAGTAGCAGGGACCACAGGCATGTGCCACCACACCCGGCTAATTTTTTATTTTTAGTAGAGACAAGGTCTCACTATGTTGCTCAGGCTGGTCTCAAACTCCTGGGCTCAACCGGTCCTCCTGTCTTAGCTCCCCAAAGTGTTGGGATTACAGGCATGAGCCACGTCGCCTGAATACTGCCCGACCAGTTTTTTTTTTAATAGTTTAAAATGGTCTGGCTTGTTAGGGTTAACACCTGGTCCGTGGAGGCATTCAGAAAGAATCTGAATGCCTGTTGGTCAGGGAAGCTGTAGAAGGGATTTCTGTATTGGAAAGAGATTGATCTCAGTTGCGTTTCAACTCCTTTTTCTAGAGTTCCTCTAATGATATCCCTTTCCCTGTTTCCTTTCAGACAGAGGAACAAATTCTGAAACGTGTGCGGAGGAAGATTCGAAATAAAAGATCTGCTCAAGAGAGCCGCAGGAAAAAGAAGGTGTATGTTGGGGGTTTAGAGAGCAGGTATGAAAGGGAGAGGGACTCTGTTGTAAGTATTAGGTTTTTGAAGGGAGGATACAGGCCATATCCCCGTATCTTTGTTATTTCCCCCAGGGTCTTGAAATACACAGCCCAGAATATGGAGCTTCAGAACAAAGTACAGCTTCTGGAGGAACAGAATTTGTAAGTATCCCTCCAAACCATTCCCTTCCTATGCCCCTCATTTAATGCTTTCTCACTCTTTCCCCTGCCCTACACTTGATTTCTAACTGGGCAGCTGCCTTCACTAGGTCTCTGATTCCAAGAAGCTCCCAGTAGTGAGGAATACATTTACAAGTAACTAAGAATAAGTTAAGTACCAAGAAAAAGAAAGGGGGTAAGAAAGACGTCATGGGCTTTCATAGTAGTTAGGATTCTGGGGTTGGGTTGGGAAAGCATTCTAGGCAGAGAGAAAGCATCCTAGGCAAGAGGACTAGTCCAGCATAGTCATCTTGGGCTGGAACTCTTAACACACATGAGCTGGGACAGAAGGTAGAGAACATAGAAAATGCCTGGTGAGGATTATGTGCATAGCTGATCAGACAGTGGGGAACGACTGATGATATTCGCAAAGGAGGTTAAGTCCTGGCAGAGTTTTTTTGTTTTGTTTTGTTTTTGCTTTTTGTTGTTGTTGTTGTTTTAATGAGGAACTTCAGGCATTTTGTCCAGAGAGGAAGAAGTCGTTTGCAAAAATAGAATGAAAAGTAAGAGAGAGGATCCAGTGCAGAGATGGAGGAGGTGGCCTGAACAGGAGTTTCACTGTGTCTCAGGATGCTAGGCCAGGGGATGCTCACTATTGGCCCCTCTCTTCCTCTAGGTCCCTTCTAGATCAACTGAGGAAACTCCAGGCCATGGTGATTGAGATATCAAACAAAACCAGCAGCAGCAGCACCTGCATCTTGGTGAGGATGGTGATGAGGGGAGAAATCCTTTTCTCAGTTGGTGGGGACAGGGCAATCCAGAGCCCTTCTTCATCTCCTTTTTCCTGTGCTCTAGGTCCTACTAGTCTCCTTCTGCCTCCTCCTTGTACCTGCTATGTACTCCTCTGACACAAGGGGGAGCCTGCCAGCTGAGCATGGAGGTAAGAGGCTTAAGGATAGCTCTCAGACAGGGCAAGGGGAGAGGTCTGGGTTGGCCTCTGAAGATTCTTTGTCTCCTCAGTGTTGTCCCGCCAGCTTCGTGCCCTCCCCAGTGAGGACCCTTACCAGCTGGAGCTGCCTGCCCTGCAGTCAGAAGTGCCGAAAGACAGCACACACCAGTGGTTGGACGGCTCAGACTGTGTACTCCAGGCCCCTGGCAACACTTCCTGCCTGCTGCATTACATGCCTCAGGCTCCCAGTGCAGAGCCTCCCCTGGAGTGGCCATTCCCTGACCTCTTCTCAGAGCCTCTCTGCCGAGGTCCCATCCTCCCCCTGCAGGCAAATCTCACAAGGAAGGGAGGATGGCTTCCTACTGGTAGCCCCTCTGTCATTTTGCAGGACAGATACTCAGGCTAGATATGAGGATATGTGGGGGGTCTCAGCAGGAGCCTGGGGGGCTCCCCATCTGTGTCCAAATAAAAAGCGGTGGGCAAGGGCTGGCCGCAGCTCCTGTGCCCTGTCAGGACGACTGAGGGCTCAAACACACCACACTTAATGGCTTTCTGGGTCTTTTATTTGTACCCATGTGTCTGTCACACCATGAATGTACCTGGGGAAATCAACTGACCTCCCTGAACATTTCACGCAGTCAGGGAACAGGTGAGGAAAGAAATAAATAAGTGATTCTAATGCTGCCTAGGTCACCCTCAACCCCCATTTACTGGCACAATTGGGTGGAGAGAAGGGAAGGGGTATGATTGTCCTGATGGCTCAGGGTTGCAGGAGGTTCAGAGGGGAAGGAGGAAAGGCCAGGCTGGAGGCTGGGCTGTTAGCACTTCCCTCCCACAGTTCAGACGGCTCACTCTGGGCTCAGGTTTGCCATGGCTTCCTTTGGTCCAAACATAGGCCCTGTCCTTAGTCCTGTGCCCTGTTTGACTTTTGGCCAGGAGGCCTTTTTGTGCTGCTGCTGTTGCAGGGCTAGCTGCATGGCCCATATGCTCAGTGGCCGCATGTAGGCCAGTGAGCGGAACACTCGCTGCTGGCAGTATGCCTCTGGGGTCTGGAAGGCCAGACCCAGGCGCTCCCACACGGTACGGTAGCAGCCTTCAGCTGTCTGGAAGCCCTCCCAAGTCAGGCCCTGTTGGGAGAGATGACAGTCATACATACTAACTTGGCACCCTCTGAAGAGCCACTTCCACTGGATAGATGGAGGCAGTAGAGTCTTTGCCTTCAAGGAGCTCCCAGCAAGTGGAGGAGATAACTATGACCCACAGACAGAAGCCTGAAGGCAGGAGCTGGAATGCATACCAGGGAAAAATGGGAGGCTTTATAGACGGACAAGATGGCATTGGGTTATGCCTTGAAGAAATTTGGTGGTTGAGGAAGTTTTCTGGGCCAGGATACAGATGGTGGAGAGATGGGAAAAGGAGTGCATTACCTCTTGGATCATGGTAGCTGCCAGCCCGTAGACCACACCCACCCAGACTTCATCAGACTGCACACTGGATTTATCAGGGACACCATGGGGCTGCATCCCATTCACAGCCCCCATGGCCCCTCCTGCAAAGGCCTGGACGTTCAGCTCAAAGATAGTTTGGAGAGCACGGACCACATGTTGGGTAGGAAACACCTGGAGGGGCAAGGGCAGGAACATGGTCTCATATACTTACTTCCCACCTCCAGGGAAAACCCATTTTTCTCTCTGGCTGCTCCTCCTCCTCTCTCACCTCAGTGTCTCCTTCTCCTAGGCCACAGGCCTTCAGGAACCACTGTCCAGCACACTGGTCAGACATAACACTACGAGACTGAGGCCGAGAGCTGCTGTCATAGTTGTAATAGCGGCCTGGAGTCGAGGAAGAGAAAAATAAGGCTCCTGGTGTCCTCTCAGCTGCCTTAAGACTACTTAGGCTCCCCGAACTCACCATTCCACAGCAGTCTCTCATAGGCTTCTTGGCCCCGGCTGAGGATAGAAGAAAACTTATCCTGGATGTCCTGTGCCCCACACAGAGCAGCCATCTGGACCATCACAGCCACAGCTGCCAGCCACAGCCCTCCACAGTAAGCACTGATCAGGGACATGGGTTTGGGGGTCAGACTGGCAGCTCCAGCTGCTCCCATGCCGTGTAATAGACAATGAGTCATTCTTTCTTGAGCCCTACAATCCCTTGTTGCCCAGTTTCTCACCTCAGGCCTCCTGGAAACCCCTACCCGCTAACCTGGGGCCTGTGGTCACCCATCCATCATAGGTCTGGTCTGCATAGCCTCCATTTTCAATGAGTCCATCATGGTCCTTGTCAAACTTCATTTCAGATTCCATCACAGCCTAGAGAGGGACCAAGATGTTGAAGACCTAGGTACCGAGGAAAGGCAACAACCAGCTAGGCTCTTCCCAGACACCAACCATACCCCTGGCACACTGGCCACTGCATGTGCATCCCTTACTAGACACACAGGCCACATGTCCTTCAGGAAGTTTTGATCACCCGTGAGGTAATAGTCCCGATAAACCTGCAGCACAAACTTCAGGTTCAGGTCCTTCCAATCAGCAGTATCATGGATTAAATATGCATTGACGCGGAGCCATGGTTCATCATCTGTGGGAGAGGAGGGGACTTGGGTCACTTGCATTGGTGGATAGGGTAGAGGGTGCAAAAGTTGAGGGAGGGAAGCTGACCTTGGGGTGGACTTTTACCTGGGTCCCCAATATCATGGGGGATGACGTTCCTCCTTTTCACAGGTGCCATCACCCCACTCATCAGGTACCGTCGCCGTGTCAGGTCCTCCCTGAGAGTGGCCAGAGCTGGGGGAGAGACACAGAAGGGAGGCAGGGAATGGGCATGCCTGAGGAGGGGCACACAGCTATGTGTGTGACTGCAGTGGGGAACCAGTAAGCAGCATGCAGATACGTATGAAGGGAAGGGAAAGAAGAGACAATCTGAGGGACCACAGAAGTTCGGGGGTATGGGGAGCCAAGAGGGCAGAAGCGGCACAAAAGGGATCCTCACCCATGTCATACTGTAGGCTGAGCTCAAGTTTGGGCCAGAGCATGATGAGGGCAAAGGAAGCATAAAAGTGGACATCATATGTGTTGTACATGCGGTACTCCTGGCCTGGAGGAATGAATGAGACACACTGTTGCCAGAATTCCTGCTTCCCCTTCAAACCCCTCTGTAGCTTGTCCTCTAGATTTAGAGGTGGGGCATTGTTACTAGTCCACACCCAACACCCCCTCATCCTAACCAATACCCTGGGGTAGGCAAATCCATCATCCTGACTTGGGGATGGCCTGCCATATCCCAGCCCACCAGCATCCTGTACCCTCAAGGTAGCCAAATCGACCGTAGTCCCGTAGGGTGGGGCGGAGGTGACACATGTTTCTGCCCAGCTCCTCTGGTAGGGAGTCCTCAAGAACTTCCAGCCACACTGTGCCTCCATCAGCCAGGAAGTATAGTTCATTGAACAGCGCAGATTTGTACCAGGCAGGCAGTGATCTGGGAAGCGAGGAGGAGGAAATGGTTTAAGGAACATGTACCTCCCAAGATGGAAAGGATTTGGGGGTTCAGCAGAGTGGGATCATCAAATGAATCCCAGTGCAAGTCTACTGACTTTGGTGGGTGGAGAGTAAATCGAGGAGTCCCATTTGGAGTGAGTGCCCAGGAGAAAGGCAAGAAATGGGCCCCACTGGCACCTGTCATCCAATACCGGGCTCTGCCAAGCTGAGATCCTCTCTTCCCACTCTGCGTATCGGCACAGTGCATAGTGGCTGAGGGCAGGTGCTGCATCTCCATCCTGGCCAAAGAACCTTGTATACCGCCTGGGGTGGGAAGGGGAAGGATGAACACAAGCCCCAGGTCAGAGCCCCAGCACTCTGGATCCTTACACTTTCTTGGTCCCCTCACCTGTAGTGGACTTGGCCTTTAGCTCCAAACATGATCCTGGGCATGTCCCAAGCCAGTGAAAACTCCAGGCGGCACTGGCCTCGAGGTCGCAACTTGCTGGAAACACACACAGCTCCAGCAATGCCTACTCCTTTCTGCGTAGGGGTGCTTTGGCCTGAGAGAAACACAAGAGAATTCAGGACAGGAGCCCCTTCAGCCCCAGGGATAGGGATCCCTAACATGGAAACAAGGCCTACTTATTACCAGGCCTCCCACCCCTGGTCCCAAGACAGGGACAACCTCTCTTCCCACCATCTCCCAGTCAGACCCCCCATCACCAGTGGGAGAGTCCAGCTGTCCATCCTGAAGTAGATCCTGCCACACCTGCTGCCCCGTGCTGTCAGGGTCAAAGGCTGTGATGTGGGTTACCGTGGTAGCTGCCTGTGAAGGGGTCAGGGACTGTGAGGGCAGGCTCCACGAGTACACTGGGTCCCGGCTAGCTCCCCAGCTCCTCTTACTTACTCTTAACCTCCCAGGCCCAGGGGCTTACAGGAGTATGATGAGGGTGGATGAAGAGACCATGCTGGGGTGGAGGTGGGGTTCAGGGGCTAAGGTATAGGGCAGGCTCTTTCCTTACCGTGACTCGTGCAGCCACAGCCATCGTGTAGGGGTTTGGAAGGGTTGGATGATGCAGGAGCAGCCCCCGGACAGTTTCCCCGCTACGCTCCAGACAGAAGGGCTCATTCCACAAACCCCCTGGGGCATCGTCTCCACCACCCAGTCCATTCCGCATGGAGAACATGATGGACACATCTAGAGCTTCGTCCCCTTCATTTTCCACATCCCACACAAAGACTCCTACAGGCAGGCTGCTGTCCTGGGGGCAGAAGATTAGACTCAGACGGTCCCAGTAGAGCGCCTCCTGACCCCACTCTGCTAGGATCAGTCCTGGGCACACAGAGGACCTGACTCAAATACTCCCCAGTGTACTCTTCTTTTGTCCACTTGCATCTCCCCATATTCCCAGGCAAGCTGCCTAGCAGGGAATATAGAAGACCAGAACCAGTTGGGCGGTGGTTCTGGGAAGCCAGTGTGATGTTCATGGCTCCAACCTCCCTTTCACAGGCCATGCAGTTTCTTTTTTTTTTTTTTTGGGGGGTGCGGTGGCGCAATCTCGGCTCACTGCAAGCTCCGCCTCCCGGGTTCACACCATTATCCTGCCTCAGCCTCCCGAGTAGCTGGGACTACAGGTGCCTGCCACAACGCCCAGCTAATTTTTTTTTTTGTATTTTTAGTAGATATGGGGTTTCACGTGTTAGCCAGGATGGTCTCGATCTCCTGATCTCATGATCCGCCTGCCTTGGCCTCCCAAAGTGTTGGGATTACAGGCGTGAGCTACCGCGCCTCGCAGGCCATGCAGTTTCTAGCAGAGGCAGGTCCTGGGGAAGGGAGGGCAATGGAAGATACAGATGTGGGGGCCTCACCTGGTAGTCATGGGGCAAGATGGGTGTGATCTGACGGCAGGTGAGGGTGACATTCTGGCCAGGAAGCTGATAGACAGTCCAGGCTCGGGGATAGAGGGCATGGTAGAAAGCAAAGTACCCACACAGGCCCCAGTTCCAGCTGCGGAGGACACTTGGGCGCTCCAGGGACAGGACTTGCTGGTACACAGTCTGCCCTTCCCGACGCAGGCACACTGTGAACTTAAGAGGGCAGATAGGCTGGAACGGGGTAAACCACAGGGACCACAGACTAAGTCTTCCCTCTCCTCAAATCAGCTCCTCCCCTTTCAGAGCCTGCAACTGTTACCACTGCACCATCAGCTTCAAGTCATCCCCCAGGCTCAGTGAATCACCAAGTCCTGCTACCTCCCCATCCATCTATCTCCCAAGCTTTCTCTCCCTTCTCCACTACGGTGGTGTTAGCACCTCACTTAAGCCCAATCTCCTGCTTTTTCTGTGGCCCTTTTCATCTGGGTAGCAGAGTGATCTTTCTCACAGGCAAATCAAGATATGTCAGTCCTTGGTTAGGATGTTTCAGTGACTCCCCATGGCCCTCAGGCTAAAGTCTCAACTCTTGCCTGGCTTTCAAGGCCCTTCTTGAGCTGGCCTCTCCCTGCCCATCAGACTCATCACCTGTTCAAGCACCTATAGTCTGTTCATATAAAAACACTCACTGTTCCTTGAGCACACTACATTCTCTCCTCCATGCCTGTGCTCATGCTTGTTCGCTATCTGGTGAAACCTCTCATCCTTCAAAGCCTAGGTCAAAAGCCATCTCTTCCTCCTCTACTTCTTCCAGCAGTGAGTCATTATGTGTGCCCCCCTCCCCTTCTATTCTAGCATTTGGTGTATTATGTTATAATGTATTGACTGACCATTCTGTGTCCCTGACTGCTGTATGGATTCTTCTGAGGGTAGGGACATTTTTTAATTCACTGATGCACCCTTCTTCAGAGTTGGCATGTATGTGGAGGGAATGAGCGAAATCTGCAGCACCGTCCCTTTTTCCACAGTATACTATCCACCCCTCTCCTTTTAGCACTGATGTGGTCTCACAGTCTCCATTTCCCCTAAGTCTTATTTTCTCAAAAAAAGTTTTAGCTCTTGGAGGGTAGGAGCTATGAGGGATTAATATCCCTTTCCCTGGTTCAAACTATGTCAAATATTTTTATTGTATACAGTGGGCTCTCCATATCTGTGAGTTCCACATCAGTGGATTCAACCAACCAAATCTAAAATATGTGGAAAAAAAGTTGTGTCTGTACCGAATATGTACACACTTTATTTACTGTACGGCACAACAAGGGTTTATGTAACAATGTATGAGGTATTATAAGTAATCTACAGATGATTTAAAGTATATAGGAGGATGTGCAATGGTTATTTGCAAATACTATAAGCCATTTCAAATCAAAGACTTGAGCATCCTCGGATAGCAGGTCCTGGGCCCAACCCCCCATGGATACTGAGGGACAACTGTATAAAATAATTTTTCATTTTGTTGGAATGGTACATAATGGTTAAGACCACAAGCTCTTCACCCCAGAAAGAAATGGTTCTGAATCCCAACCTTTCCATTTACCAACCTTGTGACCTTGCGCATGTTACTAAACCTCTCTGGATCTTAGTGTCCTCATCTGCAAAATGAGCATAATAGTGGTACTTCCCTTGTAGGATTGTTTTTAATATTAAACAGTATACAAAGAGCCTAGCACAGTGTCTAGCACATGTTAAGCATGCAATAATTACTTTAATTGTAGAGTCACAATTCTGGAAGCCATTCCCCTCAGGATACCTAAGGGATGAGGCAGAGAGGGATCTTGGGACATGGGCAGGGCTGGTAAACGTGAACCAGGAAGGGTATTGTCATTAATTGGACTAAAGATTTGCTAGTCATTTTTCCTTTGAAGATGAGGCTGAATGCTGGAGCCAAGAAAGAGGAACTTCCTAGGCAACTCTAAAGGGGCGGTCAACTAGAGAGAGATGATGAGAGGCAGGACACATACTTCTGGCAATTTAAGGCCCAGATGTGATGCAGGAGCAAAAGGAAAAAAGTGAAGCTTCAGAAGAGGGAAGAAGGCTAGAGATCTAAGCCTGGGAGAGAAGGAGCTTTTTAGACCCTAAGCCAGGAGACCTCCAGGGGAGTGATCAGCAGAGGAGCTGAACTTTGGTGAAGGTTCCTCAATCAGGGTGAGGAACCTTGTACTACGTGTCTTTTTTTCCCATGAGTTTATAGACTTTGGGTTTTCTTTTCCCTTCCAGTCCTACAAAATGTTCTTTCAGGCAGGTTAAGTGATTTGGGAATTCTCTGCATTCTCTGTGGTTGGGGGCTGCCTCAGCTAGTTGGGTTGGGGCAGTGAGGTAGACAGGAGGCATTTACTAGAGAAATGCCAGATCTGTTTACTCTTTCAAGGAATGTGTGCTTGTGTGTGTCTTATTCCTACGGTATATCCTAGCTCAGGGCTGGGCACACAGGAAGCATCCCGAGAGTACTTATTAGATTGAATCTTATTCACATCTAACTGCTACCTTCTACACTAGCCAAGAGGTCCTTCCTTCTTGGCCTGGGGAGGTATTGTCCTGGCCTCTCCACCTCCTGGCTCTTACTTGGTCAGCGATGACTGTCCGGTGCTGATACATTCCAGGGTTAAGCTGCCAACGACAGAACTGGCCTCTCCAGCCACGGGTAATAGTGCCTCCCCCGATGCCACCCAAGGGACAACCTAGAGAAATCAGGGTGGTTAGTGGGGTATTGGGAGAGGAAAATAAGCCCATTTCTAACTTTCTAGACTATAAAGCCTGGTTCCTCTGAAAACCTAGGGGATGGAACAGTGCAATTTGCATAAGCTGGAAGTCTCTTCCTAACTGTGGTAGACCTGGAGGCTAGGCCTTCTCTGAGCAGAGCAGAGATGGGGTGGGGCTCACCATAAATCTGTCTTAGGGGTACAGAATTGATCATGTCGATGAAAGGTGTCTTCTTTTCCACATGGGTCTTCCGGTACCACCACTGCAGGTACCTGAGGAGCAAGAGGCAATGTGAGTGGAAGGGGGCAGGTGGGCAGCTGTTCACAGGCTGAGTCACCTGCCTCTCTCTGTGACCTCCCATTAAATGTCCCAAGGACATCTGCTTTCAAACCTTTCTTCCTCTTGATTTCTATACAGTTCAAGGTCCCTTCATCTTCCCAGTCACCCCAGCTGAAGTGAAGGAGTGGCTTTGTTTCTCTCCTTTGTTCTCCTCAGAAGGGGCTTTCTGATCTCTCCTTACCTCTCTAGCACCACCACCACTGCTTTATTTCCAACATCAGGAGCTTCTGTCTGACGTGCTGAAAGGACCATTTATGGTTTCCTGGCCTACAGCCTCCGCCCCCAATCCCCTACCTCCAAAACAGGCATAGGCTGCTGGGAATAACTTTCTTATCTTTATTTTTATTATTTATTATTTTTTTTTTGAGACAGAGTTTCGTTCCTTGTTGTCCAGGCTGGAGTGCAGTGGCTCGGTCTTGGCTCACTGCAAACTCCGCCTCCCAAGTTCAAGAAATTCTTCTGCCTCAGCCTCCCAAGTAGCTGGGATTACAGGTGCCCGCCACCATGCCTGGCACATTTTTTTGTGTTTTTAGTAGAGATGGGGTTTCACCATGTTAGCCAGGCTGGTCTTGAACTCCTGACCTCAGGTGATCCGCCCGCCTCGGCCTCCCAAAGTGCTGGGATTAGAGGCGTGAGCTACCGCTTCTGGCCTTTCTTCTTTTTAAAATGATCATTTTTCTTTCTAATTATGAAAGGTGAAAGGGGGAAAAAAATAATCTCACCCATAGACAATCAGTGTTTATATTTATTTCTGGACATTTCCTCTCAAGCCTTTTTTTTTTTTTTTTTTAAATTCAACATTTAAACTGTGAAGCTTTCTGATTTTGCTCTTGGTAAAGCCTTCAAAAAATCCCAACATTTTCCTGGGCTTGGTACAGCCCTATATCCAAGAGGCAAATGATTGAGGCTGTTTTCAATAGGCAAACGATTCTGTTTTCAAGGCTCTGACATCTGTCCCAGCCTATCTTCTAATCTTATTTCCTACAAATTCTCATTCCAGATGGGTCCTCACTAAGTAGCCCCTGCCCTGCCAGACTCTTTCCCATTTCCACTCTCCTGCCTACTGCCACATTATGCCTACTGTTCAGTCACACCACTTCTAACCAAATAATTGGGTAAGTAACCCCTAAGTCCCAGTTTCCTCATCTACAAAATGGGGATACCACCTGCTCTAGCTATCTAATGAAATGGTTGAAAGATCAAATGACATAATAGATAAGAAAGCCATAAAGTACAGGTATGATTATTACTCATATATACAAACTGTTATCTCAATTCCTAATCAGACATTGCCTTGTTATTTCAATGTTCCTCATGTGAGGCTGACATACTTTTAAGTTCCTTGGGGAAAGGGACAATGACAAAGACTAGCTGAATATTACCCTCAGGTCCAAGCACAGGGTAGGACATATGGTCTGCAGTCAATGCATATTTGCCAATTTTACAGATGAATGAACATACAAATGATGGGGCACAAGAGAGATAACAGACTGGAGCAGAGGAGAAGAAATGTGATTAATGAATAGGGACAGCGGCCAGGCACGGTGGCTCACACCTGTAATCCCAGCACTTTGAGAGGCCGAGGTGGGCGGATCACGTGAGGTCAGGAGTTCAAGACCAGCCTGGCCAATGTGGTGAAACCCCGTCTCTACTAAAAATACAAAAACATTAGCCAGCTGTGGTGGCAGGCACCTGCAATCCCAGCTACTCAGGAGGCTGAGGCAGGAGAATCGCTTGAACCCAGGAGACGGAGGTTGCACTGAGCTGAGATTGCACCATTGTACTCCAGCCTGGGTGACAAGAGCAAGACTGTCTCAAAAAAAAAATAATAATAAAATAAAAAGGGACAGCACATTCTAGGGGTGGAAAGAAGAGGGAAGACAAAGGATGGGATGACAGGAAGGCAGAGAATCCTCTCTGCCAGCTTAGAGAAAACCGGACTTTGAAACTAGAGACCAGAAAGGACTGGTAGAGGGAGGGTGTGGCCGAGGATTAGGGCAACCAGGGAGAGTAACTGCAATCTATGAGGACAGACAGAACAAAGGACTATCTGGCATGGAACAAGCACTCAATAAATATTTATTGAATGAGTGGACTCTGGCTGGAAGGGAGAACAATTGAAATTGAGTTCTTACGAAGGTAAGACCCAGAGAATTCTGTCTTGCTAGAGCTCCTGGTCAGAGTGCCCACAGTTCAGCTCCATCTTAGGAGCTCTCTTACTCCCTTAATATGGTAGCTGGCCATTCCTGACCTATTTGGCCTTCTCCACAATTTCAACCTCAACTCAAGAGTTATCACTTAGAATTCTTGTCTCACCTGTGCTTTCTCCTCATAGGAACTCATCCTATTCCAAAAGCCTTGTATCAGTACCCCCCACTCTATCCTGGAATGGGGAGCCAGGGTCCAGGGGGTTGAGCACAGCTTCAGGCCTCTATGACTCAGTTCATATTTAAGGGCTAAGAGGCTAGGATGCCCATCTTTTCTTGATCTCATTGTTCCTACCACATGCAACTCAGTGTACTTCTCTATGTACACTAGATCCTATTTTGATGCAAAAACTTTTGGGGTCAAACTTGGACTGAATTGATTCCAGAAGCAGCCTGGAGGGATGATTCTTCTCTGCTACAGGCTACCCACAGGCACCAACAAAGCCAGATGTGCAGGCAGCATCAGGCCCTTCCCACTCCCCAGGGCTAGGGTTAGATAACTGATCTCCCCATCACAGCCCCACAGCACTGACTGGGGAAATGAAGGGTCTCCTACTCTAGAAACTGTAAGGGCAGGGTTTCCCAAGCTTTATGCCTCCCTCCACAGTTCTGTGTGTATTGTGTAGACTGAGTCAGGATGACCTCAGGGTGATGCTTTCTGTCCTCACATCCACCTGTTCCTGTTAATGGGTCTGGCTCCTCATCACTAGTCTTTGAACTCAGTGGGGATCTAGATGGGTTCTACATCTATGGCAGTGCCTCTCTGATAAATGACTTAATATCAAGAGCTCTCTATCCCAGAACAGAATGACAGCACCTTCTCATCACTTCAGAGGTGAGGGCAGGGAGGCTCTTCTTACCTACTCCCTGGAGCTAAAGCTTGAAGAAAGAAGCAGTAGTGTTGGGACTCTAACAGTGTGTCTAATGAGGTACAGAGAATGCCCCAGCTGCTTGTGGGAAATAAGGGGTTGAGACCCCCCCACCCCCAAATAAAACAACATTGTGTTAGTATCACAGCAGCCAGATTATCCTTTCCTACCTTGCCACAAAGTATAGCTAATCCCAAAGGGAAGTCATTGGAAACCAGTATGTGAGAAGAGCCTGAATGGGAAAGGCTGATTGCATGACCAAATGTTCCTACCCTTTCCTTCTGAAAAGACAAAACACTGGGAGGGAAGGGTGTTGCAAAGAGATGTGACCTGGTCTCACGGTCCAAAACCACAGGCCTAAAATATGCCAGGGATAGGGACCGCTTCACTCAGACAAGAAGCCCAACTGCTTTCTTGCCCTTTCCCACCTCTGCTAGAAGTTTTGAGCTGGAACAAAGTGAAGCCAAAGGCATTCTAGGCAATGGGGTCTACTCACCTCAAGCCCATGCCTATATGCTTTATCATGTTGCTTAGGGAGACGTTGTTAGCTTGAAAGGGTTTCCTCTTCTCTGTAAACTCATGAGCCAGACAGATGCGCCAGCCAAAGGGAGGCACCTGGTAGCCCATAGCTTTACCCTCATAGGAAACCATCAGCTGCCCAGAGTCCTCCGGATTGCAGCAGTCCGTCTCTTTTGGGGGTCGGCTGTCTTCGGGACTCTTACAGTCTGTAACCTGCACATCCTTGGTGCCGCCAGTCTCTTCAGGGCAATAAACTTGTGGATCCTCTTTGGCACAGCTTATCTGCTCCGAGGCTGGGACGCCGGTTCCCATGTTCCCTGGATCCTGGGTCCCCATGACCTCGATGGCGCCAAGTCCCGAGCCCTCGGATACTAAGTATCTCGCCAGCCTATTCCAGATGCGGGCGCCGGTCGTTGTTAGGTATCGTCCCGGAGGGCCGGGCGTTGGGGAAAGCTTAAATGAGCTGGTGTTTCAGTGGAGCCGGGGAGCTCTTGCTTCAGTGGGGGCGGCGACAGCAAAGAAGCCGCCTTGGGCTCTCCTTCGGTTGTCTCTGTAGGTCCTGGACGGGAAGGGTCGGGCCTCGTCGTCATTGAGCCGACGATTAGCTCGCCCGGCCAAAGGGCGACTGGGCCCGCAGAGAGGGGAGGAGCCGCGGGGCCAGCCCACCAGGCACCGCCCCGGGACGGGCCCGCAAGGCACCGCCCCCGGGACCTCGGCCCGGCCCCTGGGCCACGGCACCGGGTCCCCCAGGATTGGGCGCCAGGTCCCGCCGGCCGGCTCCGGGGCAGCGCCCGCGCCCAGGTGCCAGCCCGTGGGAAGGTGACCCTGGGCGCCGGGATGACCCGAGCCCTTTCCGGTCTGGCCTGCCGGGCGCTTCCGGCCGGAAGGGACTCCGCGGAGGGTGGGGGACCGAAGGGAAGTCCCGCCTCTACCGCCCAGCGGACGCCGCCGCCGCCGCCGCCGCCGCGTACCTAGCCAGGTCCCTGAGGGGCGGGCAGATGAGGCCTAGGGGTGCCGATCCCTAGTGTCGACTATGCGAGGTGACTAGCGGCGGTGATCTTGGGCTGGGACGTGGAACTTTGAGGAAAGGGGGAGCGGAGGCCAGTTTGGGAACTCCGCGGGGGTGCCCAGGGAGAAGAACCCGTCGCACAGGGGCTGGGGTCTAGGGCCCAGAGCGATGTCCTCCCCCTGGGCAGTACTGAGTCTTCAGTCGCCTCCCTCCCACCCGCCTACCCCTCCTATATCCAGGAGCTCCCTCGGGCACCACGGTGCTGACCACCCCTGTCCTCAGCCCTCAGCCCTAGGTGCTCACCGCAACGCCCCTCCCTGTCAAGGTGCTGACCTCCGCCCCGCCTTGTTTCCTTCTAGATCTGATTCCGGAGCTGCCATGATTGAAGTGGTAGCAGAGCTCAGCCGGGGTCCTGTATTTTTGGCTGGGGAGGCGCTGGAGTGTGTAGTGACCGTCACCAACCCCCTTCCGCCCACGGCCACTTCTGCATCCAGGTGGGGATGCTGGCACTGAAGGTGGTGGCCCTTCTGGGAAGAAGCCAGATTATCTCTGGGGCTGAGGCAGAGCTCAGGTTGTCCTGTAGCGACACCACCTCCTCTTGCTCACTGTGCTGTCATTGTAGGAGAGGGCTCTTTAACAGAAGATGTGGATGACATAGCTGTACGCTTTCCTTCCCCTCCCCCGTTCCCCTTTTTACGCACAGTCTGCTACTCTTTATTTAATGGTTTCTCTTTGGGATTGTGGATTTCCTGATCACTAGGACAGCCATCTAACCTTGTTGGTTAAGATGGTGTGATAGGGAGCTTGGGAAAGCATTTGTGAGGTCAGGAACTACCTCTGATGCCTCCTTTTCCTTTTCCCACAGTGAGGCCCTGGCCTGGGCCAGTGCCCAAATCCACTGCCAGTTCCATGCCAGTGAGAGTCGAGTAGCACTGCCTCCTCCTGACTCTAGTCAGCCAGATGTCCAGCCCGACAGCCAGACTGTCTTTCTGCCACACCGAGGTTAGAGAGGGGCATTTGCCTGGGAGAGGGGGGGTGCGGAGGGTGTGTGTGGAGGCATTGTCACCCATGGGTGAAGTTGTTAATTGTTCTTGTTCTTATAGTCCCTGTCATGCTGGGGATGTTGGGGAGCATGACTATTGCTTTAGGGGTAGAAGACTATTCCCATTTCACAGCAGGGACGGAGGGCCTGGCAGCCTTTCACTATCTCCACTTGCCGTGCTAGTCTTGTTCAGTACTGGACAATGGGTCATTAAATTAGTCATTTTTACCTTTTTCAGGTGAGAGGGGCCAGTGTATCCTTTCTACTCCACCGAAAATTCTATTCTGTGACCTGAGGCTTGATCCTGGAGAGTCCAAATCATGTGAGTGATTGTCCCCATCCCTGAATTGCCTTCTAAGTCTCCTGGAGGGAGGACTCCTCTGGTGCCTCTGGCTGTCCTGACAACTACTTCCCAACCAGACTCCTACAGTGAAGTGCTGCCCATAGAGGGACCACCCTCCTTTCGGGGTCAGTCAGTCAAGTACGTCTACAAACTGACCATTGGCTGCCAGCGTGTCAACTCCCCTATCACTTTACTCAGAGTCCCTCTGAGGGTTCTTGTGCTGACTGGTAAGCAAGGGCTCCTGGAGGGAAGGGCTGGGGAAGGGCGATGCCAAAGCAGAAATTGTCTTAGAGGGCTTGCAAGAGGGACTGCAGGGAAACTTCCTGGTCTCAGTGACAGTGCTAGGGAGTTGGGAAGGGAGGGAGGGTTCTGGAGATAGAGATGTAAACCTCAGCCCTGGCACCCCTTACCTTTAGCCATCTCATGTTAGAATCTAAAACCCTAACCTCTACTCTCATCTCCGTTCCCTCTCAGCATTACCTCTCCACTCATTCTTTCTCTAGGCCTTCAGGATGTCCGGTTTCCCCAGGATGAGGCTGTAGCCCCATCCAGTCCATTCTTGGAGGAGGATGAAGGTGGGAAGAAAGATTCATGGCTAGCTGAGCTGGCTGGGGAACGCCTAATGGCTGCCACATCCTGCCGCAGCCTCCGTGAGAATTCTTTCAGAATTGTCCTACCCCATCCTTCCCCTCATTGTTTTCCCATCTCAGAGACAGTCTCCTAACCACCACACACTTCTGTGGATCCACTGATACCTGACACCTCCAATTTTAAAGAAAAGCCCCATCTTTTGGCCTGTGGTGCCCAGTCCTAGACGTTATCCAGTATGTAGACTCCAGGCTTATAGTGTCCTATTCTCCCCAGATCTATACAATATCAGTGATGGCCGAGGGAAAGTTGGGACGTTTGGCATCTTCAAATCTGTGTACAGACTTGGCGAGGACGTGGTGGGGACCTTAAACTTAGGGGAAGGAACCGTAGCTTGTTTGCAGGTAAGAAGGGAGCAGAGCTTCTTACCTGCTGGGGTGCTGGGGTTGAAGGGCTAGGGTGGAAGGCCTGTATAAAGAGGGGTGGCATGTAGAAGGGGATAGTGGGGTCATCCAGGGTCCCTTTGTAAAACAGCTTGAGGTTGGGCTGTCCTCTCACCTACAGACAGCACTTCCTGTTAGCACACACCTGTCTCTTGCTCCCAGTTTTCAGTCAGCTTACAGACCGAGGAGCGTGTACAGCCTGAGTACCAGCGGCGACGTGGGGCAGGGGGTGTCCCCTCTGTGTCACATGTGACTCACGCCCGGCACCAGGAATCCTGCCTACATACAACTAGAACCAGCTTCTCCCTCCCAATCCCTCTCAGCTCCACCCCAGGCTTCTGTACAGCCATTGGTGAGACCCTCACTGTTACTGGAGAAGGGAGAGGGGGACAGTAAAATGCTGTGCTAAGGGAGGGTGTAATGGATCCTGATTCCTTATACACACTCCCAGACATACCCACGTCTAGCCTCTGACCCGGAACAGTTTCTCAGACCTTCAACCTCTTCCTGTTTCTTAGATGCACTGACCCCTAAACTCCTAACAGCTTGATAGAACTCCTTCCCCACACCTACCTACTAGGACCCTGTGATACACTGATTTTTGATTACTTCATGCTACCTAGACTTGACTGCCTCACTCTTAGGTTATTAGGTACTTAATACTGCTATCTTCAGCTCACATCTGTGGTAGTACCCATTGCTTCAGAAAAACCCTTAATCACAGCTCCCTGCCCTGTGACTTTTCCCTGTCTTCCTGAACACAGATTGTTTTCTTCTCATTCACTAACTATATCCTGTCATTGGCTTTTACTCCTGCTAGCTTCTGATGCTTCTACCTTAATCTTTTTCTTCCATAGTGTCCTTGAAGTGGAGATTGCATTTTGAATTTGTAACGTCCCGAGAACCAGGATTGGTACTCCTACCCCCTGTGGAACAGCCCGAACCTACCACCTGGACAGGACCTGAGCAAGTACCTGTAGACACCTTCAGCTGGGACCTGCCCATCAAGGTGCTGCCTACTAGCCCCACCCTGGCCTCATATGCTGCCCCAGGCCCCAGCACCAGCACCATAACCATCTGAAACTGGCCCACCCTGGTGCTAGTTCCTTCCGGATACTGAGAACTCAGCACCTGGACTCTAATGGGACCCACTTTTTCCACCTGGGGTCCAATGTCGTGGACAGTGAGAGTCGGGCTTTCAGCTATAGCATTAATTTATTTGTTCAGAATACATTGGCAGCTGCTAGTGGTTTCCCTGGAAGTGGCAGCAGCAGTGAGCAGTCAGCAGATGGATGATCAGTTGAGTTTAGCTGGAGTGGGGAGCAGGAGCCCCAGGAACAGGGGTGTTGGCTGAGCCCCATTCTGGGTCAGGCCCTCCCCCTTTGCAGGGCAGCCGAGGGTCAGATTTTTGCACCAAGGAGAACTGGCAGGTTCCTGCCTCCTGACGTACCTCACACCCAGCCGGGAAGTCGATGGGATGCTGGGACCTGGGGAACCAAGGATAGGGGAAGGAGTCAGCACAGTGAAAGGCTGCCTTTATCCCTGCCCACATGTTCCCTCTCTCACAGTTTTCCCCCCACAGAGCCCCTTTCAGTGGCCCCTTGGTCCTCCTAACTAAGCTGTCACCTACCATATGTGGGCCTTTTTGTTTTATAACAGGAGTATTTTCTCTCCAGGTCCACCCCAACCTCCCCTGATTTATAGCCTGAAGCCTTATCTTTCACACTAGTGTTGGTCCCTTCAGGTTTGGCCCATCTTGTATTGCTCTTCTGTTCATTCTTACATCACAGCAATCTAGTCACTCCCTGGTCATCCCTCAGTCACTCATATCAGAGTCATTCTCTCTGGCCATCTTTGGTCACTCACGTGTCACAGCAGCCCACGCCAACAGGATGCAGACAGGTGCAATGGAAACAGTCCTTGCGGAGCCAAGACTCACCCAGGGTAAAATATTTCCCCTCATAGTGACAGGGGGCTAGGGAAGAACGGGAAATGTTAGTAGGTGTAGGAGTGCTGATGAGAGGCAGAGGCTCTTCTGGTCTGGGGTGGAGACAGTAAGTACGCACTATCCCCGTATTTAGTTTGTCTTTCCTGTTTCACAGCTGGAGGAAGCCTGGGTATTTTGACACGGGATCATCTGTAAGGCCCCATCCTCCCTGTGCCCTCTCTGCTGCTCCTCCATTCCTAACGCTTCACCCCACTTTACCTTGAGCTTGGAAGTAGCACTTGCTGTAGACTCCTGGGTGCTGGAGGAGTAGAGACATCACCAAGCAGATGATCCCCCAGCCTCCTAGGATCCCCTTGGCCTGTCCAGCCCAGAGCATCCTTAGGGCCATTGCTGCTGCACAGCCCTCTCAGACCCTTCTTGGCCTCTGCTCAGCTACTCTGGTCTTGACTCCTTGACTTTGCTTTGCGTTGCTCCTTGAGTCTTAGTTTCTGTCTTTCTCCCCTGGGCTCCTGTCTCACACTATCTCCCTGCCCTCTGCTCTCACAGGCTGGGGATGTTTATAAAGTGAGGACCCTGGCCCCCTGCTGAGTAGAGCTGGAAAAGTTGTAACTCTGTTTCCTGAGGTGAGGGCATGAAAACAAGAGGTCTAGCTTTAACAAGCTGTGAGAGCTGATTCATGCCCCGGCACAGCTAGAGGGAGGGAGGTGGCCATGGAGGGGGCACTGGACTGGGCACTTCCCCAGCAAGGAGGCAGGAGGGGCGAGGGCCCCCAGGTGGTCCCCAGATCTCTTCCCTGACCTGGAGAGAAGGAAGCATTCCACCTTCCCCCTTTCTCCCCCACTGCCACCACCAGGGGTGTGTATGCTGGGATCCCTGCCTGGACCGGAGGGAGGCATTTCCTGGGGATGGTTAATCCTGTGCCCCAGCCAAACCCAGGAGCTGCAATAGGGTGCGACGGCCAGAAGCTCCAGGAGAGTGAGCAGGCACCTGGAGTGGAGACTGTGTTTCCCTCAGATCCTAGGGCAGGGTTTCCCTAATGTATCCAAGAAATAGGGCTGCCCCTCAGAGATGGTGGGGAGGGTCTCTTTTCCTCAGGCATTCCAGAGGTGAACTGTCCATTGCTTATCACCTTCAAACATACAGCAGATGTGGGATCACCCCACATCTGGGGATGGTTCTTTCCCCTTTCAAAGAGGAGCATCTCTAAGTGCCCTGATGGGATGAATCACTCCAGGTTCACAGAGGTGTCCTCTCTTTCCTCCCATATATAATGGAGTGAGGTTTTTAGGAATTTATCATTTGGCATCCTCTGAGTTTCCCACAGGTTCTGGAGGAGCCCAGGATGGATTATTGAGAGCATGGGCTGTAGAGACAGTCTTCTTGGATTCAGATCCTGACTCCACTTAGCTATGTAACCTGGTCAGATTACTTCACCTCTCTGAGCCTGTTTCCTCATCTATAAATTGGGGATAGTAATGCCAACTCATTGGGCTGTTATGAGGATTACTGAGATAATGCGTGCAGTGCTCTTATCACCATCTCTGGTGCGTAAGCGTCAGGAAATAGCAGTTGCTGTGATTGGGGCTAAAGCTCTGAGGCAAAATGGGCGACATTATTTTCTTTGAATGACATTAAGCAGTTTGTGCATAGCTGAGGGCTTCTATTGGGGATGGCTGTCTCCTGGCATAGACCTCTGCACCTTTCACACTCATACTCCTTGTCAGCAGTCCCCAACCTTTTTGGTACCAGGGACCGGTTTTGTGGAAAACAATTTTTCCACCAGTGGATGGAGGGGGATAGCAGCGGGGAGATGATTTTGGGATGAAACTGTTTCATCTCAGATCATCAGGCATTAGATTCTCATAAGGAGTGTGCAATCTAGATCCCTTGCATGCGGAGTTCACAGTGGGGTTTGCACTCCTGTGAGAATCTAATGCCTCTGCTGATCTGCCAGGAGGAGGAGCTCAGGCGGTAATGCTCACTCGCCTGCCGCCCACCTCCTGCTTTGTGCTCCCGCTTCCTAACAGGCCACAGACTGGTACTGGCCTGTGGCCTGGGGGATGGAGACCCCTAATCCATGTCACCTTTCCCACCTCTTTCAAAAACAGGTACCTCCAGGAACATTTTGGTTTTGGCCCTTGTATTGACTTCTGAATGTCTAGTTTGAGAAACTGTTCCCAATAAGCCTTCTTCCCCCAGATCTGCACCCTCGCCTCTACCCTAGGACAAGATGTCCTTTTCTCATCATCCTGCCAGGCTAACTTTAAGTCTCCTGCTTTTTCTCACTTGGATTTGGATCCATTTCTTCCTATTTCCGCTCATGTGAACTCTCCAGTTCTCCTTTCTCACCACTCTCCTGCTAGCCATCTCTTTGGCACTAAAGGCCCTGGTCAAATTGGATTTCTTTCATTTTTCCACACTTCAAAGACCCATGTTCTAGGTATTCTCCATAGGGATAGTCTCTTTGGCATTTATTTGGTTTTTCTACGTTTTCAGTCCCATTTACTCCAAGACTCACTCCCTGCCACCTAGTGCATCAGATACAGCTACTTCTGGCTGACTTTTCAAGGGGGACCACCCTACCTGTCATCTCTTCACTGTTCAGAAATGACTGTGTCAGTGCACCTCAAACTCCCTTGCTGTCCTTTTCCAAGGAGACAGCTAAGGTGGATGGAGATGCAGAATGGACCTCACGTTCGCCCTAGTCAGGACTGATACCCTTTCCGTTTCAGAGGATTGCCAAGAAAAAACTCACAGTTGAGGCAGGGTGCTCTGAGGTCGGCTGCGGTGTGGGAGGCACGGCCTGGGCCTGCTCTCTGGGCTGGAGCAGGTGGATTCGAAGGCCTGTCTAGCACGAGGGCCCAAAGGTCTTGTCAGTGGCCAGTAGCTCTGCCGCCTTTCCCAGAGAGGGGGTCCAGGGGACATCCTGGAAGGCTGGGCCCTGGGCCACCTTCTGCTCTTGCAAGCTAGAGCCAGCCCAATAGGGGGCGGATGTGAGTGGGGAGCTGGGGCGCATGAAGGTGGGGGTGATGCCGAAGGGGAAGGGATCGCCAGTGGGGATTGGTGCGTGTGCGGAAACGGGGACAGAAGTGAAGGTTCATCGCCTATAACGAAGATGAGGTAGGCATATAGGGGCTTCTGGAAAGCTAGAGGCTGGGCTGAGCCAGGAGTCCTCTCCCAGAAGTTGGGGGGCGGTGCAGAGGTGTGGGTCGAGCCCGCATGCGTGCCTGCTGGGGAGGGGGTGAGTGGTGAGGACCAGGCCCGCTGGGTCCTGGGGGCGCGGTGGCTGGCGCGCAGGTCCCGGAGGGGGCGGCTGGCGCGCACTACACGCTTGGGAACAAGGAAAACATCCGCCGGAGGCCCGGCCGGGCGGCGCTCCAGCCTCGGGGCAGGTGCGCGGAGAGGAAGTGAGAGCATTCCGGCCCCCCCACCCCAACCCCGGCCGCTGGCCCTCTGGTGAGTCACAGCCGACCCCCGCCGCCGGAGGGAGAGGGGAGCTGCGGGCCAGAGCCCCGGAGGGTCTGGAGGAGCCAGGAGGGTTTCTGGGAGCAGAGGGTCACTTAGTGGGCTTCTGTCGTGGTGTCGCTACGGGCGCGAAACGGACACTGAACACAGTCTGACTGTATGGAGGCAGGTGGGGAGGGATCCCCTGGGAGAACTTGGCGGGCCGAGAGCAGACCCCAGGGCAAGGAGGGGCCCCCGAGGGGGAAACCGGGAGTCGGGCAGGTGGCGTAACCCAGAAAGGGAAGGAGAGCCGGATTGATTGGGGTGAGAGAGGAAGGAAGCACGCCAAGTTAGGCCTGGGAGAACTGAGGGACCTGAGGAGGGAGGAGGGAGACCAACACAGGGTGGGAAGGCGGAAATGGCCAAACCCCAGGCATCAGGTCTGTCCAGAGGCTGACGTAGACAGTGAAGGGTGAAGGGTAGGTTTTAGGAGTAGGGGGAGTTATGATTATTTGGTTACATTTTGGGATTATTTGGTCTCACAGGTAGAAGGGAGCCTGCTGGTCTCTGTGTAACGGATGGCTTAAAAGCAAGGTTGTCTGCGTCTTGGATTACTGTCTGCCATTCAGCCTTTGCCAAAAAATTTGGCACTGATCTGCACATTTTTATAGTCATTTAAAATTGTATGACTCTGTCAAATGATTTAAGTAATTTTGGTGGATTTTTAAAAATAAAAAAATAAAAATAGAAAAGTTGCACAATCTAATTCAATATTTGACTTAAAACCAAAAGTGAGGCTCTCAGATTGGTAATATGGTATTCAGCCTTTTTCTTGTTTGGCTTTTGTGCCATTTGCCCCTCACTGACTTGATTGAATTCTTTGTGGCTGATGCCTCAGTTTTTCTGGATCAGTAGTGCTGCACTTCCACTTTTCCTCTCCCTCATTTTACTGTCTTTATTTTTAGCCTTTTTTCTGTGTAGCCCTCTAACCTGCCCTTTATATTTTGAACCAAATAAAACATTTCTTGGAATGGGAGCTTTGGACTACAGTATACAGACAAACAACTCACAATTTTAGCATATGAGGCTACTATCTTCTGTGGATGTGTATGTAATTATACAGTTTCTGTATTTATCCTGTGGCTGATAGAAAAAGTTAAAGCTGTTTAATTCACCATAGTATTTCTACAACACAGCAATTTATTAGTCTGACTTCTCTTCTAAAATCAACTCTAAAATGGTATTTTGTACTTGTCTCAGAGACGAATTCTGCCATGATCCTTATGATCTGTGTTATGTTGGGCCAAAGGTGATTACTTTATAAATTATAAAGATCCCTAAACTCTGCATTGCCTTTGGTCCCAAACAAGCAAATCTGGGTCAATTAATGAAAAAAAAAAGAAAAGAAAAGAAAATGTCTTACTTTGGGCCCTGTTGCACTCTCCCGTGCTGTTTTAGCCCCAGCCCTACTCTATTCCCAGTGGCCTTTGCCTTCATTCCTTCTTTGCTCTGCTGGGCATCTTGAGAGGAAAACTTCACACCGACTTCCTCTACTATAAATTCTCTCCCTCCTCTCAACTCTACACTTCTCTTTGCCAACATACACCACTACTGCTTCACTGATTTTTTTTTTTTAAGCCCACAGTCCTTTCTGGCTCTTTTCCACCTTTAACACTCTTATGTTGAAATCTTCCGTTTTTCCTCCTTTCTCTTTAGTAAGACCTCAGGTTTTTAAAAAAGCTAGGCTTGATTGTTTATTCTGCATGGTCCACTTCTGCCTTCCTTCCTCTTCTATTACCCTTTTCTTATTCTAGACTGTTTTTAAACTCAGTTATGCTTGCTTTCACCAAAGCCTTAACCTTTCCTGTGATTAGAAAAAGATGCTTATGTTTCCATTACTTTTCCTACAAGAAAACGCATTCTCAAATTCATATCCACTTCAAACTCTCCCAACGTTTTGCATCCAGAAGCATAAAGTGGCCATTATTGTGAAGTCCACTGAGTGACCATTTAAGCTTGGTGTTATGCCACACACTGTATAGTGAATTTCATAATCCTGGTGCCAGATTTCTAAATTATTACAGACAATAGATGATGGACTGGGCACAGTGGCTCACACCTGTAATCCCAACATTTGGGGAGGCCGAGGCAGGCAGATTGCTTGAGACCAGGAGTTTGAGACCAGCCTGGCCAACATGGTGAAACCCTGTCTCTAAAAATACAAAAATTAGCTGGGTGTGGTGGCGCGTTCCTGTAATCCCAGCTACTCTGGAGGCTGGGATGGGAGAATCACTGGAACCTGGGAGGCTGAGGCTCCAGTGAGCCGAGATTGCATCACTGCACTGCACTCCAGCCTGGGTGACAGAGGGAGACCCTGTCTCCAAAAAAAAAAAAAAAAAAAAAAAAAAAAAAAAAGAATTCTTTGCTATGAAACTGAAATTGCTTCTCCACTTTCCCTTCCCTCTCATGATCTCTCCTCAGTAAAACCAAGGTGCATTTTTCTGGACCCACCTATCTTGGGGGTGATTAGGAGTAGAGGGTTGTAAATACTTAAAATTTTTTTCCTTTCTGATATAATTATTGATCTCCTTCTAGAAGTCCTGTCGTCTTTGCTGGAGAATTTTTATTTAAGCATCCTTTTGTAGAAGAATCTCTAATGTCCTTTTTTCATCCAGATCTACACTTGATGAATCCTAAAGCTATTTCTACACAGTTCCTTTATTCATTTTTCCTTTTTTTTTTTTTTCATTTTTTGTGCCTGTTATTTTTCATGGGTTTATCATCTCTTTACAAATGGGCTGCGTCCACTGAGGGGCAGCATTGATTTCCCGCTGCTGTCACTCAGCGCCTCAGCCTCCTTTGATCCCTTTTTTGGTTCACCCTTGTTGCCCATACTTACTTTCCTTTATTGTCAGTTCTAATCTTCTCCTTTTCTATCTCTTTAATGAAATTCACCATTTTAAAAAAGATTTCTGGGGTCTCAAAAGTTTTTCAGGGGATCTCGCATAAGTCTCTGCATTGTGACCTAAACTGTGTAGCACTGATTTCCAATGGATTGGGGCTGATGGGCGGGGTGGGGGGCCATTGTTGGGAGAGCAGAATATCCTCATGAATAGAGTTTCTCAGTGACACTGTTAACATTTTGGAGGATAATCCTTTGTTGTGGGGGGCTGTCCTGTGCATCGTAGGATGCTTAGCATCTGCTCAGTAGATGCCAATGATATTATCTCAGATGTGACAACCAAAATGTCTCCAAATCCTGCCAAATGTTCCTGGAAGACAAAATATACCCTCTACTCCAGTGTATAGAATTACTGTACTAGAATATCAGCTTTTTGAAATTGATTAAATGGTTATACTTTCTCTTCCCAACTGCTGATTTGTAGCTGGAATTTTAAAAGTGTGGTCTTTGACTTACTTGGTAGGTGGTAGCTTCTTAAAATTGCAGGTTCCTGAGCTTATCCTAGACCTACTGAATCAGAAACGCTGAAGGTAGAACCCAGAGATCTGATTTTTACAAGACACTACCTTCCCACCCCCAACCAGGTAATTCTGCCCTAGGCTTGACCCTCCTGTGGCATAACTGCTGCATTATCTACATTTTTTTCTCCTGCAAGTCTTCCTGGTGTTCCAGCTTTGCTTCCGCTTTTGGCCCCATGATGCCAACACAAATAAGGAGGCCTCAGGTTACCAAGACAACTGGAGCACAGGAAACTGTACAGGCTCAGTGCTCCCACAAGCATCATGGACTGTGATTATGCTGGCTTGCTTTCTCCTTAGGGACTCAGCCATACTTCCTTTTCCCCATCCCCAAAACTACCCAGACTGGCAGAGACTGAGGCCCAAGCCACAGATCCTGATTTCACAGACCTGGTAGTAGATTTATGGGGTGGGTAGGATAAGGAATGATGAATGAAGCTTTCCTTCTAGCATTGATATTTCATGTCATTTTGGTGATAATTGAATTTGTAATCATGAGAACTACATTTCCCTGGGAGTTGGTTGTTAGATGCAAGTTTTGGAATCAGGATGCTTCTCTTTATTTATTATGTTATTTATGCCTGCTTCACTGGACCTTGAGTCTTAGATGTTTTTGCATCCCTAGCTAAATGTCTTTACAATTTGCTTTGGGCCAAAAGGTTTGGCAATCTACTTCTAGTACACTGGAAGCAGCTAATGTTCAGTAAGAAAAGAATATTTTTAGGGCCAGGTGCATGGCTCATGCCTGTAATCCCAGCACTTTGGGAACATGAGGCAGATGGAGTGCTTGAGTCCAGGAGTTCAAGACCTGCCTGGGTAACATGACAAAACCCTGTCTCTACAAAAAAGAATACAGAAATTAGCCAGGTGTGGTGGTGCACTCCCGTAGTCTCGGCTACTTGGGAGGCTCAGGTGAGAGAATCACTTGAGCCTGGGAGGTCGATGCTGCAGTGAGCCATGATTGTGCCACTGCACTTCAGCTTGGGTGACAGAGCAAGACCCTGTCTCAAACAAACAAACAAACAAACAAAAAACCCCAAAAAAACAAAAACAACCAAATAATGAATTTGGGTTCTATTTACACTTAGTTATCAAAGCTAGTCATTTTTTAAAGGAGGATCATCTGGCTTGATTAAATTAAGTTTCCTTAAAGCCACAAATAAATGAAAACCTACTTGCACTTAGATGCTTTAAAATACTGACTCTGACTGGGTGTGGTGGCTCACACCTGTAATCCCAGCACTTTGGGAGGCCGAGGCAGGCAGATCACTTGAGGTCAGGAGTTTGAGACCAGCCTGGTCAACATGGTAAAACCCCCCATCTCTACCAAAAATACAAAAAATTATCCAGGCATGTTGGCACATGCCTGTCATCCCAGCTGAGGCAGGAGAATCACTTGAACCTGAGGCAGAGGTTGCAGTGAGCCGAGATCAGTGTGAGATTCTGTTGAAAAAAAAAATTCAACTTGATCCAAAACAGGAGCAGGCTGCCTCCATGGTATATTCATGTCATGCCAGAGCAAGAGCAAGGGAGAATACAAGGAAATAAGGCAGACATGATAGCTCTCCTCAGACAATTGAAGGACTGTCATGATGAAGGAGCAATTAGATTTACTGGTTTAGTTCCAGAAGATAGATTAAGAACTTTTATTTAGTGATGGAGGACAAATTTTGGCTTGATAAGGAAATTTTGACTCATTTGAGGACCCCAAAGTGGAATGAACTGAATTGTTAGGCAGTAAATTTTGGCCATATTGTTCATATAGAGGTTAGATGACCGTTTGCACAAGGGTCGGATGAGGTTTTAGACATTAAATTGGGTTCAACCTGCAAGGAGAAGCAGGCAGATTTAGGAAAAGTCAATTCGCCCTTTTTCTGTCATATGATTCTGTGGCACTATTAAATTCATTATTATTTTTCTAGGCACCTCTGTCAATTTTACCCCCTCAAGTAATTGATAATAGAGTTGATAGTAAAGTCTTTAGAGATTTCTCAAACTTTGTTCCTCAGCCCTCTGGAGATTTCTGAAGGATGCCTCAGAAGTGGCTGAGAAGGGTGAAATGAAGGCTAGCTGGGGCTCTGAGCCCTTTTACCTATGCTTCAACCAGAACAATCTTGCTTTTATTTGTTTTACAAATTAAACGTACTGGCTTCCTTGAAGATTTTCTTTTTAACGGAAAAAAAAAAACAGTTCTGCTGTTAAAAAAAAAAAGTTAAAGGCTCTGATATTTCAAGGTGTTCCTTTTATTGAAAGGGAAGCTGAGATACGGAAGAAGTGTCTTGCCAGAGGTCACACAGCTAGTAAATTTCAGAGCTGGGATTCAAATCTAGCTCTTCTAGTTCAAATCTTTTGTTTCTTCCACTCTACAAGTCTGCCTTGTTAGAATTCAATGAAAGCTTCTCTCCATTCTACTGGCCACCACTGTAATCCAGAATCTCATTTCTTCTAATTTACTATTCTGTATTAGCCACTTAACTAGTCTCCTTGCTGTCTAATTCTGTTCTATATTATATATACTGTTGCCATTTTATTCTTCTTGGAACATTGTTTTCGTCCTGAGATTTCCCTGTTTAAGAACCTTCTCCCTATCTCTTAGAACTTTTCAGGCTAACCTTGTGTTAGCATTCTTTAGGATCCTCATTGTTCAGCTGAATGAGAGCCTAAATCCATCCTATTATGAGTAATTAATGGGCTATATAATAGTGAGATTAACGGAGTCCCTCCCTATTCCTAGACTTCACCTTTGGCAAGATTTTCATGTGTACAGTTTTAATCAGGCATGACAAGAAGATACAAAAGAAACAGAAAATCACAGCCCATAAAAAGCAAGTTACATAATAATATGAATAATACAATCCTATTTATATCTCACATGCATGCATTTTTTAAAACAAGAATGAGATATATAGAAATTGCCTGGAAGAAAACACATCAGACTGGGCGCGATGGCTCACGCCTGTAATCCCAGCACTTTGAGAGGCCAAGGCAGGCAGATCACCTGAGGTCAGGAGTTCGAGACCAGCCTGGCCAACATGGCGAAACCCTGTCTCTACTAAAAATACAAAAATTAGCCGAGTGTGGTGGTGTATGCCTGTTATCCTAGCTGCTTGGGAGGCTGAGGCAGGAGAATCGCTTGAACCTGGGAGATGGAGATTGCAGTGAGTCAAGATCTTGCCACTGCACTCCAGTTTGGGCAACAGAGTGAGACTCCATCTCAAAAAAAAAAAAAAAAAAAGAAAAGAGAAAAGAAAAAACTCATCAGACTGATGACAGACATTAACTCTGATAAGAGAGATTGAGAAAGGAGAGAGAGGAGGGGAGGAAGAGGGACTTCCTTTTTTTACTCAGGAGGCTGAGGTGGGAGGACGGCTTGAGGCTAGGAGGTTGAGGCTGTAGTGAGCCATGATCATGCCACCACACTCAGCCTGGGAGACAGAGTGAGACCCTGTCTTGAAAATAAAATAAAATAAAAAGAAGAAGAAGAAAAAAGAAGTGAAGTGTTTTGTTTTCCCACAATGGAGATCTTTTGAAGCATTATCCTTTTGGGAAAAAGTTAATTTCAATTCTTAGCACTTGGTCTGATTTTTAAAAATTCGACTTAAGCTAATGATGAGAAGTGTGCATATTCACACTCTTTAACTCCTGTGGATTGGATAACAAATTAACCTCCATTTCCACTGGACAGAGAACTCATTCTTCCGGTATGTTTCAGAAGGCTAATGGAGCAAGGATAACCTTATATTACTAATGGGCTGCTTAATCTCTATAATGATTTGTTGGCCAGCTACTATTGATAACAAAAAATACTTTTAAATAACTGTTTCAAAATACTTTTTTCAACTTTATTGAAATATAATTTATATACAGGAAGATGTACCCATTTAAAATGTACAATTCAGTGAGTTTTAGCAGATGTATATACCTGTGTAATCATCTTCCCAGTCAAGATGTAGAACATCTCTGTCACCACCCCACCACTGCCCCCAAATTTCCTTATTACCCTTTGCATTTACTCCTCACTCATTGCAATCCACACTGATCTGGTTTCTATCACTGTAGATTTGTTTTGTAGAGTTTCATGTAAATGGAGTCACAGAGTATGTATTCTGCATTTGGCTTCTTTAACTCAGCACACTGTTTTTGATATTTATTCATGTTTTTATGTATATTAATAGTTTGGCCAGGCACGATGGCTCACTCCTATAATCCCAGCACTTTGGGATGCCGAGGTGGGCAGATCATGGGAGGTCAGGAGTTTGAGGCCAGCCTGGCCAACATGGTGAAATCCTGTCTTGACTAAAAATACAAAAACTAGCCAGGCGTGGTGGTGCACACCAGTAGTCCCAGCTACTCAGGAGGCTGAGGCAGGAGGATCTCTTGAACTCAGGAGACAGATTGCAATGAGCCAAGATGGCGCCACTGCACTCCAGCCTGACAACAAAGCAAGACTCTGTCTCAAAAAAAAAAAAAAAAGAAGTCCATTTTTATTGCTGAGCAATAATTCATTGTATGGACATACAGCAGTTTGTTTATTCATTCATCTGATGATGGATATTTGGGCTGTTTTCCACTTTTTTGGAAGCTGCTATGAACACTCACATTTAAGTCTTTGTGGACATATGTTTGCATTTTTTTAAGATAAATGCCTAGAAGTGAAATCTTAGATCCTGTTGTAAGTGAATGTTTTACTTGATAAATAAAAGACTGCCAGTTTGGTGCAGTGGCTCATGCCTGTAATCCCAGCACTTTGGGAGGCCAAAGCAGGCAGACTGCTTGAGTCCAGGAGTTTGAGACCAGCTTGGACAACATGGTGAAACCCCATCTCTACAAAAAATACAAAAATTAGTTGGGTGTGGTGGCCCAGGCCTGTAGTCCCAGCTACTCGGGAAGCTGAGGTGGTAGGATCATCTGAGTGTAGGAGGCGGAGGTTGCAGTGAGCCATGATCTTGCTTCTGCACTCCAGCCTGGGTAACAAAGCATGACCCTGTCTCAAAAAAAAAAAAAAAAGTTACTGATTTATTCATAAAATAAGATAAATTTTTAAAAAAGAGAAGTGCCATACTGTTTTCCAAAGAGTCTGTACCATTTTCCACTTACCAGCATTATATGAGAGTTCCAGTTGCTTTGCATCCTTGTCAGCACTTAGTATTGTCAGTTTCTTCTTTCTTTCTTTTTTTTTTTTTTTATGAGACAGAGTTTCGCTCTGTTGCCCAGGCTGGAGTGCAGTGGCATGATCTCGGCTCACTGCAAACTCCACCTCCTGGGTTCACGCCATTCTCCTGCCTCAGCCTCCTGAGTAGCTGGGACTACAGGTACCCGTCCCCATACCTGGCTAATTTTTTTATTTTTAGTAGAGACGGGGTTTCACCATGTTAGCCAGGATGATCTCGATCTGACCTTGTGATCTGCCCACCTCGGCCTCCCAAAGTGCTGGGATTATAGGCATGAGCCACCGTGCCGGCCTTAGTATTGTCAGTTTCTTAAAAAAAAAAAAAAAAAAAAAAAATCTAGTAGGTGTGTAGTGCTGCCTCATTGTGGTTTTAATTTGCATTTTCCTAATGTTTAATGACATTGAGCATCTTTTTATGTGCTTTCTTGTCACCAGTATCTCATATTTGGTGAAATCTATTCAAAGTATTTGCCCATTTAAAAAACTGGAATGTTTGGCTTCTTGTTACTGAGTTTTAAGAGTTCTTTATATATTCTGGATACAAGTCCTTTGTGAGTATATGAATTAAAAATATTTTCCCCTAATTGGTGGCTTGCCTTTTTATTTTCTTTATAGTGTCTTTTGAGGAGCAGAAGTTTTAAATTTTGGTGAAGTCTAATGTTTTGCTTTTTTCTTGTATGGCTAGTGTTTTTTGTATCCTGCATAAGAAATCTTCCCTTACACCAGGTCACAAAGATTTTTTTCCTACATTTTCTCCTATATCTAAAAGTTTTATGATTTCAGCTTTTACATTTAGGTCTTTTATGTCTATGATCCATTTTGATCGCATGCTTAATTTTGTTCTCACTGCACAAAAGACACAGTAGGAAAGGAAGAATCTGGAATAAAGATGACTGCCTCTTTCAAAAGACAGGTTGTAGAATAGAAATATTAAACTTTTGTTCTGTGTATTATATTATCTTCATCTAATATTGATTAAGTAGTAACTGTTCAGTAGTAAAATATATATAGATTACCTACTCTGAGTCAGGCACTGGAGATACAGTAATGAAAACACTAGACAATGTCCTTGCTCCCTTGGAGTTTATATTTGAGTGGGTGAAATTGTGTTTTTATTATAATGAGCCTCCATTGTATATACAGTAAAGTCAAGAAAAATGTTGTTGCCTCTCTGTGATTTCTCAAAACCTCAGTTGAAGGAAGCATTTTAGATTGTTGGTAATCTTCTTAATATTATTGTATGATAGAGCATGAACCTCTTTCCAAAAAGAGTCACTGATCTGCAGAGAAAAGGGAATCTGGGGCTGCATACGGCCAACTATAATACAATGTGTCATGTGATAGAGCAGTACTGCATGCAGAATCATATCAAATGATCTCATGTTCCTGTTACTGTTGAGGTGTAATGACCAGCCTTAATGCTCTTTTCTTTGGTTTAAGCAAATTGGTTTTTTTTTTTTTTTTTTTTTGCCGAAAGAGTTCATTAATACTACATTTAGAGAACTCTTAGATCTCTTTTCTGATAGCCAGAGGACCAGATACCTTCTATAATTAGCCATTCATGTGTTCCTTAAAATGAGTCATACTATGTGTTAATGATACCACCATTCTTCAAGCCACTTCAAGTATCAAAAATAAGTTCCATTTACTATTAACATTTATAAACTAATACCAATATTAAATAGCCAAATAATAAATAGGGTTAAATCAGAGCAGGATGAGCTCTATGATCTAGTCTTG